>NC_000012.12:40187400-40338915 GCF_000001405.40 Homo sapiens
CTTGAAGCAAAGGTGGGACAACTCAAAGAGGGGACAGGCTTCAGGGCACAGGTTGGTGAGAGACAAATGGTTTAATTCTTTTGAGTTTCTGATTAGCCTTTCCAAAGGAGGCAATCAGATATGCATTTATCTCAGTGAGCAGAAGGATGACTTTGAATAGAATGGGAAGCAGGTTGACCCTAAGCAGTTCCCAGCTTGAATTTTCCCTGTAGCTTAGGGCTTTTGGGGGCCCAAGATATTTTCCTTTCACATTTCCCCCCTTTTCTTTCTAAAAATCTTTTGGAGAAAGCATTTTAGAAGAAAATGAGCCTCAGGTTCCAAGTTTTGTCTGATCTCTCATGGCTAGGATGGTTTATTCCTAGACAGGTAGGTCCTGAGTTATTAGGAAAGGTCATTTTTAGAAGGTTGTGAAGTCTCATATTCTATGAAGAGAAAATACAGAGAGGAAGGGAGAAAAACAACAACAAACAAAAGAACAATCCTGGAAAATTGATATAGGCCACATTACTCTAAAGTCCATACATTAGTAGATAGGTATGAAAGTTGTTTATGTATGTAAATAGGTTGCTGTTATTTTCTTCTGAAGTTTAAGTTGTCTAGCTTCAGTTCACAGGGCTTTACAGAAGCACAGCTTAGTTTTCAGTGACTGCAAATTAGGAAAAATGGGGGAAAGAAGCAGGGGAAAAAATGAAAAATGCTATATTGAAGAGTTGTAGCCAAGAAAAATTAGAATTAGGTCCAAATGGTAGAAAATAATAAAAATGGAAAAACATTAGGCAAGATTAGAATCTAACAACAGGTGTACTATAGTTTTTGAAACATAATTTTTCTGTCTCCAGTTTCCCATTTTTACTAAAGACAAATCATGGTAAGACTGGTTTGTTTTATTATACTGGGTCTAATTATTTGTATACAGTGCAGCAAGAATAATTATTTTTTTACATAGGCTTTTATTTTATTTATTTATTTATTTGAGATGGAGTCTCACTCTGTCACTGAGGCTGGAGTGCAGAGAAGTGATACTGGCTCACTGCAACCTCCGCCTCCCAGGTTCAAATTATTCTTATGCCTCAGCCTCCTGAGTAGCTGGGATTACAGTTGCCTACCACCACACCTGGCTACTTTTTGTATTTTTGGTGGAGGAAGAGTTTCATTATGTTGGCCAGGCTGGTCTCAAACTCCTGACCTCAAGTAATCCGCCTGTCTCGGCTTCCTAAAATGCTGGGATTACAGGTGTAAGCCACTGTAGCTGGCCTTACATAGGCTTTTAAATTCGATTTGATGGAACTGTGTTCCACAGAAAGAGTCCCAGATAAGACTTTCTAAAGCCGAGCCAGGCTATGGATTTGTGCCATTAAATACCTATGAGTTCAACGATCCTCTCCTCCTGAGGTTCCAAGATAAACTTAGGGCTCCTGGCTCCTGTTAGAAAGTGACAATCCTTACTTGCCACAAGTCAGAAAACATGTACAGGGGCTATGTAGACAAAGGTATGAGGCCAGTTTTTCCAAGGGTCTTTTATTTGCTCCATAAATCAAGTTTCATTCCTTAAAGGAAAGCACACCATTTCAGTAAAAGCCTTGGTAAAATAACCAGTTTCTCGAATTATGTCCTGTTATAAATGAAAGATTCTTATTACACTTATGCAAATAACTATATTGTCATAAGTTAAGAATACTCACAAATAGTTTCCAAATTTTGGAGAAATCAGGTAGAGAGAAAAAAATATGCTCCAAATTTTGTTCACAGGAGTATACCTTACTCAATTATTAAAAGCTGTAAACAGCTTAAAAGTTTTCTTGACTCTGGAAAACAAAATAAAGAATCAACAATATTTTAACCAAAAAGTTAAAAAGATTACTTTAGTCTTCTATTAGTTCAGTTCATGCAGTTTACTCCTGTTCTCCTTGATATTCATGAATATTTCAGCTCTCCATGAGAGTATTGAAAGTTTTTTCCTCCATTGTAATGTCACAATCTCCAAAGTTATCAGAAACCTGCTTTTAAGGACACCTGTTAGAGTTCTATAGCTGATTATAAAACCACATTCTAAGGAGGAGCAAAACAAGACAACAATTGTCCATGGATGACAAAAAGTTTTATGGCAGTCATAGTCAAAAACACAATTGATAAGGAAATTTGTTACCTCTGTGGCACACAATAATTTAACATAACAATTATAATTATTACTGATAATGTACACTATTATAATTATTACTGATAATGTACACTTAGTCACATCAGAAACATAGAAGTTTCCCATAATTTTGGAACACATAGCAGTAACATATTTGTACAAATACAGCCTAAAGAAAAACAAATGTCATTTCATATTTGACAATGTTTCCTGTATAATTTGTATACGAAATAAGCCAAATTATATCATTTTTGGACTTTAGGGAAACTAATGTCTTAAAGGATCAGTTAGGTCAGAAAAAGACATGTTATAATTTTATTTTGGAAAGCTTGTCAAATATCAAAGGTTTAAAACACTTGATGTCACAGGTAATTGTACAATAAATCATTTATTTGACCAAAGTGATAACTCAAGAATTTCAAAAAAAAGGTAAAAACCTTCATTCTTTGAGAGAGGAGACTGAATTTTCCAAACAATAAGCCCTAATAAAAACAACATGAAGCCAATTAGATTTATTTTCCCAAATTTCATAAACAATCTGTAAAATTTTAATCTTAACAATAAGATATAACTTCCATAAGCCTTTCATAACTTTTATTTAGGAGGTGGTAAATGCTTCAAGAAAACCTTGTTAATCTGAAATGGGCCTATATGCTGGTATTGCATCAGTGTGCCTTTGACATTAATTATTTATTTATAGAGAAACTGAACTTACTTTATCTCTCAATATCAGCCCTTCCAATGTCACACTCCCACCTCTTCCTCAATAGTCTCTGGGACTTGAGGACTTGAATAGCTTTAACGTCTGTCTGTGTTTCAGGAATGCAGTTTATTTTGATTGGTGTCTTCTACCAGACCTGAAGATGGGGCTTTAATTACCATCAGTGTTTAAAATTTAGCAGGACTTTGTATTCTTTTTAGACACAGGAGTCGAAGCCCTGTAACTCAATTTCACAAGTACTTTAAAAGTGCATACAGACAGATACATGGATGTAATAACCTTAACTAAAAAAAAAGATTAATTTCAGTTTTTTTCCTAAGAAAACCAAACCATATTAATAATAATATGACAACTTGATTATTTAAAACTTTGGGGTTTCTAAAAACTAAATCCTCTTACTATAACTTACACAGACCATTCATGACATGCTTCAACTGTATGGTTTGTTCTGAACATCCCTCTTTCTTAAATAAGCAATCATTTTACTCTAGGACTAAATTTACCATACAGGAGATTCTTTTGTATATGAAATTATTTCTCGTAAAGCTTTCTTAGCAAGAAAAACCTATTTATTTTTATAACTTTCTTTACATCTCTTTTATTTCCTGGTTCCTTTTACCTTGTGTTTTTTGAGATGGAGTCTCGCTTTGTCGCCCAGGCTGGAGTGCAGTGGCGTGATCTCAGCTCACTGCAAGCTCCGCCTCCCAGGTTCAGGCCATTCTCCTGCCTCAGCCTCCCAGGTAGCTGGGACTACAGGCGCCCGCCACCACGCCTGGCTAAATTTTTTTGTATTTTTAGTAGAGACAGGGTTTCACCGTGTCAGCCAGGATGGTCTCGATCTCCTGACCTCGTGATCTGCCTGCCTCAGCCTCTCAAAGTGCTGGGATTACAGGCGTGAGCCACCGCACCCGGCCACTTTTACCTTGTTTTATACATGACCTTTAAGTAAGCTTTGAATTAGACAAAAATTGCTCACCTTTTTTTTACAGGACACACCTTTTTTTTTGAAAGAATGTTTTCCTACAAATATATTTTTATTGGAAAATACCCAAATAATAACATATCTATTATTTAACTTAATATAACTTTAGATTCTAAATTTTAACAAGTTTGTGTACAAATATTTATCCTATTACATTTACCTAATTATTTTATTTAAATGTTTACCTAGAGTGTTTATGAAAACTGTGATAGTTATCATTTAAGTTATGGATCTGTCATTGCAAAATTATAACTGAGACAGTGAAGAAAATTTGACTTAGCTGACTCCATCTTGCTTTTAACCTTCAAGCTATCCTTGTCCATTCCTTGGTGTAGACTGAACTAACTTTGGGAGGAATTTATAGTTTAGCTTTAAAAACAGGCAATAACAAACTTTACTGCCTGTGGACTAGACCGCCTAAAGCCACAAGATTAGAAGTTATGATAATCTTATTAAATTCAAGATGTAGCTATTTTTAATAAACCAATATTAATGTCTTATTTAATTAAAGATTACACAAGCAAAGATCATTCTGTTTTGGCCTGGATTTATAGTTTTGTAACCTCTATGCCAAATTTTGACACCTTGGAGTACTTGTCAGGGATAAGTATAAAATTGCTTGACTAATAAATGCTAACAAAAATGTATACTGTCAAATTCTTATGACATTTCTAATATTATTTTACCAATAATTTTAAAGCCAGCTTATTTATTAAAGATTTTACTTAAGTAATATGAAGTTGAAAAAGCATTTTACTAGTCTTTTGTTTAGTATCTGATTTTAATTCCTTTTTTGTTAAGCCAATTAATTACAGCTCTTTTATATATTTTTAGTAGTGAAACATTGTATACACAACACATAAATATATAGAAGTATTAGGCATGCCAGTAGAAGTACATCTTATAGATTCATAAAGACTTCTTTCTTTTCCTTTTTTAAAAAAACCTTACCCTAGGCCATTGTCAGCTAAATAGCCTTAAATTTGCATATTAAAGGAAACAACTCCTTTAATCAGATAACAAAATTTACGTCATAAGGTATGAAGAGAAAGTCTGGTGAGCTAGAGGAAAATTAAAACGGATTTAATGGCTGATTAAACATAAAATTATAGAAGTCTATTATAAAGGCCCTCAAATGTATACACATACACATATGCATATACACATACACACACGAAGATTCTATAGCTTTTACCTCAGTACTCTAGCCTTTTGATACATACACATTAGCCAGCTTGCAAAAATAAAAAAATTAAAAAAAGAATACCTGTTAGATCCAAACAGCTGTTTTTATCTCAGTAGAAAAGTAACAGCAGATTTAAAGCAGGCAGAAATGAAAATGGAGATAAAGGGAACCTAGGAACTCTATAGTTTGCAGGTTGACCTCAGGGCACTTTTTCATTAATGTAAATGTACACAAAGACCATATTACTTTCATTTTATTCTGGCAAGTAGAAGTGCCATAAAACCTACATAGTGCTTGAAAGCAGGTCATTCTCCTTGTTTTCTCCTAATTCTTAGATTATCTGTTTCCTGCTTTTCTTTTTTTTTTTTTTTGGTCTTAAAAGGAGGAAATGAGCTGTGGCCTGGGGTTTTTGTGTGGTGGATTGATGCATGCTGCTTGTAGGCAGGACTCCATAGTGTGTCACCACTGAATTGTTTCCACCCCTTATGTGTCTCAGTTTCTCTCTCTTTTGAGACCTCTGAGAGGGCTCAAAATGCCGGGTGATCAGCCCTTATATGTGTTTCCTGGATGAGCCATTTTTAAAATTAATTTTTGTTGGGGATTTTCCTGCAGGGCCATTGCATGTCATAGGGGTCAACCCCTCAGACACTCTCACGAAGGCCCCCGTCACCCATGGGTGCCTTTCGGCTGGGAGGCCTTTTCTTTTCAGAACTGAGAAAACTCTGTCTCTTATTTACCTATGAAAACAACAGTTCAGTTCCTCATGCAAATGCACACAGACGAACCGAATTGAGATTATTTTGGGAGAAAAAGCAATAAAGAAAACCCTTTAGAATGCGTCTCCGAACTAGAATTAGGATCCTTAAGCAAATAACTTCCTAGGCAAGAAAGGAAATAAAGACAGCCAAGACCAGGTCCTGTAAACTGTATTCAGCTGCTTGTAAATTTGTAGCTGTCATTCGACATTATACACACCAACATCAAATCCTCTCACAGTGCAAGGTTATCTCTGGTATTCCCAAATCCATAGAGGTCAGGTCATGCAATACAGGAAAACAGAGCTTTAGACCAAAGAAGAATCTGCCCATGGCTCTTAAAACTCCCCAAAGAAAACAGAACACCCAAAAGGCCAAAAGGGGTGAGTGGCACCTTTGTTTTGAATTCTTTAAAGGAGTTCAAGTCATTAGAAGCCTTCTCTAGATTTTTTTGGTATTGCAGGAAGCAAACATAAAAACCAAGTGCACGTTTTTTTTGTTGTTGTTTTTTGTTTTTTTAATTCTCTTTTGCAGCTGTAAGGAATTTGGGCCAGATTAGAGAAACCTTGTTACCTATAATTTTGAATTCTTACTCTTATTTGACCAAGTCAGGTAGAGTTGATCAAATCTGATGGGAGAAAGACCAGAACAACCAACAACAACAACAACAACAACAACAACAACAAAACTCCAACAATATGATCAATGAGTGCTCTAATGGTAAGGAGAAATTAAGACCAGCTGGTTGTTAAACTTTAGTCAAGACAAAAACTCCCATGCGGCTGCTTACCTAGGGATGGGTCTCAGGCTGAAGAATGCTTTCTACCATTCTAGAAGTAGGAAAAAACTCATCTTCCCTGCTGGGAGCGAGCTCAAACTCCATAAAGGAGTTACCTGCCTTCCATCGTCGTCGTCATCGTCATGGAAACAGGAAATCTTGTCTTCCTGGTTGAAAGCCAGTAAAACTCCAAAAAATGGAGTTGTACAGCAAAATAAACTTTAGATCTCGACCAAATTTGGGGAGATAAGGGATTCTCTGGAGGTGCTGCTCCCAGACCTCAGCAAATTGTCCTGTTGTTTTGAGCCATAGAGTTAGCTGATGTTGGCACCAAGCACTGAAAGGAGATTTGTCAGATGTAAACCCTGAAAATCTGAGACAGGTCTCAGTTAATTTAGATAGTTTAGTTTGCCAAGGTTGAGGACACACACCTATGACACAGCCCCTGGAAGTCCTGACAACATGTGTCTAAGGTGGTCAGAGCAGAGCTTGGTTTTATACATTTTAGGGAGGATGAGACATCAATTGACACATGTAAAATGAACACTGATTTGGTCCAGAAAGGCGGGACAATTTGAAGCAAAAAAGCTGGACAACTCAAAGTGGGGACAGGCTTCAGGGCACAGGTAGCTGAGAGACAAACAGTCACATTCTTTTGAGTTTCTGATTAGCCTCTCCAAAGAAGGCAATCAGATATGCATTTATCTCAGTGAGCAGAGGGATGACTTTGAATAGAATGGGAGGCAGGTATGCCCTAAACAGTTCTCAGCTTGAATTTTCCCTTTAGCTTAGTGATTTTGGGGGCCCAAGATATTTTCCTTTCACAGTGATAATGTTCCATCAGTCTGTCCTTTCCTATTCTAAAACTTGGTGGTCTGGTGAAGAAGTTTACCTGTGTCCTATCTACATCCATCGTCATATTATGCTCTTTGACTTTACCTTATTTCATCTGTTCAGACTAAACAGTCATAAGTATTTGCTCCTATAGAAGCAACTTTGTCTCCTATGCTACTTTAGTATTCTCCTTTGATCCGCTCCAGATTTGTTAAGTCATCTTTAAAGTTTCTTCACCCAGAACTTCTTTTGACTTCCTTTGAGACAATGTGGATACTAAAGAAACTAAGCTAGACAACCTGCCTGTTTCACAATTTCCTTCCTTTCTGAAAAATAACTGGTGTTTTATTGATTCTTTTGACCAAATAATACCCTATACTGATGTTTTGAAGGCCTAATTATGCTCCTGTCTTTGCTAGTTACAGTCTTTGTCTTATTAATAGCGTATGGATTATTTTTCCCTCAATAGGTTATGTTGCTTTTTTCCCAGTTGAACCTTATTTATTATTTTGAGGCCCGGCTGCATTGCCCAATCTGCAAATACTGTTCTTGCTACCTCTTGGGCACCACCACACTCTCAAGTACAATATAAGACAGGAGGAACAGAACACACTGCTTCCATCAAAGTAAATCATGCTTTTTCATCTTCTTCCTACTTCATGCTCAGGAACATAAATCTCAGTAGAATCTCTAGAGGGCCTATCCCATAATGTAAGCTCTAGGGCTTAACCACTGATATGTACAAGGTTAGTAAATGAAGCCTATGGTTCTGCGACCAGACTGGGGATGTTATCTGGGTGGCTTTGACCCCAGTACATCAGACTCATGAGTCATAGATGACCCCTATTCTTATGCTGAATGCGCCACTGTCCTCAAGGTAAAAACTATCTCCACTAGAGAGTAGGAGGGAGAATACCTATAGCCAATGTGCTTTCCTTCCTGTGAGGCTGTTTGTTATTGATGCCACTCAGATGTGTTTTCTATCTTTACCCAAACATTCTGACATCATATTCTTTGTAACTATTTCCTTCATTTCCTATTCAACATATTTCTGTAAGGTCAGTAAAAAGATAAGATTCAGTTCTGTAATCTATATTATATCCTTAAATACAGTTTGTTTTTTTAAGTAAATGGAACATGAATTCAGTGACAAGTCAGAAAGAAGACATGCTCAAATCAATTGGCCCATGTTTAGCAAAAATAATTTGGCAGAGCACCTACATTGGTCATAAGGCCTTCATTAATTTAATAAATATTTATTTAGTCCTTAATATGTTCCAATCACTTTTATATTTGAACAGGCCAATGTGGTACCTCATTCTTTTGGAGGCTTACAAACTACCAGAAAAGAAAAACAGTAAACTAGTAAATCTAATTATATAGAAGAAGGAAGTGAGCTCTAAGAATTAAAGATATACAAAAACTGAATTTTGAGGGAAGCAATAACAATAAGAAATGCATATTGCCAGGCACTTTATATATATTAACTTTTAATCTTCATAACAGCCTTATATCAGTTTGCTGGGGTTGCCATAACAAAACACCACAGATTAGGTAAACAACAGAAATTTATTTTATCACAGTCGTGGATGCTGAAAGTCAAAGAAAAAGATGCTGGCAGGTTAGTTATCTTCTGAGCCTCTCTCCTTGCCTTGCAGGTGGCTGCCTTCTCACTGTGTCCTCATGTGGTTTTTCCTCTGTGCATGCTTACACACACACACACACACACACACACACACACACAGAGAGAGAGAGAGAGAGAAAGAGAAGAAGGGAGGGAGACAGAAGGGAACAATTAATTCCAAGAAATAAGATCTCTCATAGGCAATGAACTTTAATACACTAGTTTGTCCAGTAAAGAAACATGGGACAATAGATATCAGCTTCTCCCCAATTTTCCTATTAAACAAATCTCTCTTCTTTTGGGAAGTAAAAGGGTGGACAGAATGATGGCAGCGTTTTCCCCAGAACATCCCCAAGGTAGGGTAAGTATTGAAGGAAGGTCACTAGTACTTCTTGAAAGGCGAGAAGATTTGGTGAGAGTATCTATTTTATGACCCAACCCAAGAAAGAAATGTGAAGAGAGGAAGATAACAACTTTCTCCACATTTATCACTGAGGATTTCTAGATGTGCATTTATGTGTGCCAAAAAAAAAAAGAAACACTAAGGCTTTATAAATTTAGAAAGGCTAGTTATCACAACCAGTAAACTAGTAAAAAAAGTTAAAATATACTATATTATGCCCTAAAGGGGATATATCAGAATGGTCTGTGGGTCAGGAATGGAAGATACCTAGTCTGAAAAAATTATTCTAGTAATTCTGAAAGGGCCCTTCAATTCCCCTCTGCCCTCTTTCCCAACACACATTAATTAAGAATCATTGATCTCAAGCAAGAAGGGAAAAGTGTCAAAAATAAACCCTTGGGAAATATCAATATTTGGGATTTAAGGAAATGAAGATAAAATTATGAAATAGACCAATAATTTTCTAGAAAATTAGGAGAATGCCAGAGCAAAGTAGATTCCTAAAAGCCAAAGGTGCAGATGGTTTCAAGAAAGGAGGAGTAGTTAATATTAAATGTTGCTTAAAGGTCAATTATCATTAGTATTATTATGATTTCAAATGAAAATGTACCAGTTGTTTCACATCTGTTATCTCATTTGATCTCTCAACAATTGCATGAGGTGAAACTGAAGATTAGAGATGTTAAATAACTTGCTGGGATATAAATTCAGGCCTGTAGGATTCCAAAGACCACCCTATTTCCACACTGTTCTGTGAAGTCATTGGTGGTCTTGGTGGGAGTGGTTTTGGTAGATATTGGGCACAGAAGCCAGAAAGCTTTGAATTGACACAGTTAATAAAATTTAAGAGCGGATAGGCTATGAGGACACCCGAAGTTTAACTGACTTCGGTTTAAATTTTAAACTTTTAAACTTTAAAGTTTAAAAGTTTAAACTTTAAACTTCAGTTAAAGTTTAAAATGAGAGAGATGGAACCAAAGAAGGGAAATGAGTTCATCCTGTGTTTTGCTTTGTTTATATGATGCAGTTTCATACAGTGATTTAGATCACATGCTCTTCATCCATACTGCATCTGCTGGAATCCCGGGCTGCCCATCAGCCATGTGTTATTTAATCTTTGAGTTACTAAATGATATTGAGTTATTTTAAAATTTAGTTTCCAAGAATATTTATTGTTTGTTTCTTTGTTGTATTTTGTTTGGAGACAGGGTCTTGCTTTGTCACACAGGTTGGAGTACAGTGACATGATCATAGCTCACCATAATAAATACTACATTCACACTGTCTTTTACTTTGCTACTGAGTTAGTATCCAGAGACACAATATTGTGTAGGATACTTAAGAGCTTTTATGTATATGATAACACTTTTTGTTGTTGTTCCTAGTCTTAGAAATAATTGCAGTGAACAATACAGGTTTGAGCTGCACAGGTTCACTTCTATGCAAAGTTTCTTCCACTGCTGCCACCCCTGAGACAGCAAGTCCTACTCCACCTCTTCCTCCTTCTCCTTTGCCTACTCAACATGGAGACACTAAGGATAAAGACGTTTATGATGATCCACTTCCATGTAAGGAACAGTAAATCAATTTTTTCTACCTTACAATTTTCTTTACATTTTCTTTTCTCTAGTCTACTTTATTGTAAGAATTCAGTATATAATACATATAACTACAAAATATGTATTAGTCAACTGCTAAATCTTTTTTTTGAGACAGCGTCTTGCTTTGTCTCCCAGGCTGGAATCCAGAATGCAGTGGCACTATCCTAGCTCACTACAGACTTGAACGCGTGGTCTCAAGTGATCCTCTTACCTCAGCCTCCTGAGTAGCTAAGGCTACAGGTGAGTGCCACCATGCCTAGCTAATTTTTCATTTTTTGTAGAGACAGGGTCTCACTATGTTACCCAAGCTGATCTCAAACTCCTGGCTTCAAGGGATCCTCCTGACTCAGCCTCCCAAAGTGCTGGGATTGCAGGCATGAGTCACCATGCCCAGACAACTGTTTATGTTATCAGTAACATAAACAGTTGCTGTCAACTGTAGGCTATTAGCAGTTAAATTTGGGGCGAGTCGAAAGTTATATGCAGATTTTTGACTGCATAGGGAGGTCAGTGCCACTAACCCCTCCTACCTGGGTGAAAAAGCAAGACCCTATCTCAAAACAAAACACAACAAAGAAACAAAAAAGAAATATTTTGGGAAATTAAATTTTAAACTAACTCAATATCATTTAGCAACTCAAACTCATCATGTAAACCAAACAAAAATATTATTCAAGGGTCAACTGTACTCAATATAGGTATAAGTCTCCTCTTTTTATCTTTCCAAATAAATCTTTAATACTGGTAAACTCTAGGACCACTTATTTTGGATAATTTTTCAATTATATTTTATGTATGCTTTTCGAGCATTTACTACAGGAAAAATGTCATGCTAGATGCTAATGCCACATTTCATGTTTCATATTTAAAACTGGTTCAAAGTGCTTTTGGTTTTGGGTTCCTTGCTTCAGTTCCAGAGATATAAAAAGAAATATACAGATGTTATTTGAAAATATTTCTTTGACAACAAAGCAGTAAATCTTAAACTGTTGTTGAAGAACAATCAGGAATCAGCGACAAATTTAGTTTTTTCCTTAGATGCTGCTGAATCATAAAAGCCTATTTTAAAATGTTGCAGTGCTCATACTTTACATTTCTTTTCTTCCAAAGATACTAAAATAAGACATCAACACCCCAGCAATTTTCATACATCTGGAAGGGTCTCCTGGCAATGGGATGCTGATGCTGTAGGGAGAATAATGGTCAGCATTTGAGACATACGCAGCTCATCAGTGGATGAGCTCAGGGTGGATTCCAGCCAGTAGAAACCAAAGGGTTCCCAACTCCCCAAGGACCAATGTAACTCCCAGTAAATGCTCTCCACAGAAAGTGTTATATTCTCAAAGTAAGTCTCAAGCATAAAATATGGTAGTTTCAAAAGAAATACTGGCCAGGCATGGTGGCTTGCACTTGCCCAGCACTTGAGGCTGAGGCAGAAGGATTGCTTGAGTCTAGGAGTTCAAGACCAGCCTTGGCCAAACAGCAAGACCCTATCTCTACAAAAAATAAGAAAACGAATTAGTCAGGCATTTTAGCATGAGCCTGTAGTCCTAGCTACTTGGGAGGGTGAAATGGGAGGATTGCTTGAGCTCTGGAGTTTGAGGCTGCAGTGAGCTATGATCATGTCACTGTACTTCAACCTGGGTGACAGAGCAAGACCCTGTCTTAAAACAAAATACAATAAAGAAACAAAAACGAAATATTTTGGGAAATTAAATTTTAAAATAACCAATATCATTTAGCAACTTTTTATTAGAATTATAGAAATTTCTAAAATAGAGGAGGTAACATCTTTATTACTATAAAAAATAAATATTCATTGAGTGTTCATCTTGTTTCATATATATATTGCTCATCAAGTATTAGCATTTGTTACTGAAATTTTAGAGTGGACGAACTTAAAGAAAGGTTAAATAAACTGCCTGATGTTAAAAACAAAAAAAAAAAAAGAGAGAGGGTTAGGTGTGGTAGCTCATGCCTATAATCCTAGCACTTTAGGAGGCTGAGGTAGGAAGATTGCCTCAGCAGGAGGCAATACTTAGAGGGGGAACAAACTGAGCTCAAAGTTAGTAGAAGAAACGAAATAATAAAGATCAGAGCAGAAATAAATAAAATAGAGACTAGAATAACAATAGAGAAAATTGACAGTAAAAGATGGGTTTCTGAAAAGACAAACAAAATTCACAAACTTTTAACTAGACTAAGAAAGAAAGAAAGAAGTCTCAAATACATAAAATCAGAAATTAGAGAAGACAGTACAAGAAATACCAGAGAAATACAAAGAATCATTAGAGACTACTATGAACAATTATATGGCAACAAACTGGATAACCTAGAAGAAAGGACCAAATTCTAACAAATATATAATCTACCAATACCAAATCATGAAGAAATGGAAAATATGGGCAGATTTATAATAAGTAAGGAGATTTAATTAGTAATCAAAAATCTCTCATCAAAGAAAAGCCCAGGACCTGATGGCTGTACTGGTGAATTCCCCCAAACATGTAAAGAATAATCGTCAGTTTTTCTCAAACTTTTTCAAAATATTTAAGAGGAGGAAATACATCCAAACTCATTTTATGAGGCCAACATTATGCTGATACCAAAGCCAGACAAGTACCCTGTAAGAAAAGAAAATTACAGGCCAATATCCATGATGAACATACATGCAAAAATCCTCAATTTCTAGCAAACAGCACATTAAAAGGATCATACACCATGATCAAGTGGGATTAATTACTGGGATTAAAAGGTTATTCAACATACACAAATCAATAAATGTGATATATAACATTAACAGAATGAAGGATAAATATCGTATGATGATCTCAATAGATGCAGAAAAGCACTTGAAAAAATTCAATATCATTTCATAATGAAAAATTTGAACAAATTAGGTATAGAAATAATGTTCCTCAATACAATGCCTTTATTGTACTACACTACAAACCTACAGCTAACATCCTACTCAATGATGAAATGATGTACAAACCTACAGCTAACATCCTACTCAATGATGAAAAGTTGAGAGTTTTTCCTTTAAGATCAGAAACAAGACAAGGAAAATTATTTATGTTGTTTTAGGACAATCTTAGGGCCTCTTCTAGCTTGCAAGTAAAAACTTTTTTTTCACATGGCTTACTGATGTTTGGAGTAACAACATAAAATTTAAGCATCTTTAGTATACCTACATTAACTAAGATTCATAAGCTTTCTCTATGCCTCATGTAATTTATTAATCTTTTTCTTTAAATTATATTTATACTCTTTAAAATAAATTTAAAATGTCTTTTCCACTTAAAAGATACTATGTTACACAAACTTGCACAACATGTAATAAACCCAAATATATCAATAACCCAGAATAATTATCAGAATTTTGTCACGTATGCTTCATCCATCTATTTTTTCCCTTTCTTTCCTTTCACTGAAGCATTTAAAGCAAATAATAGTCATGTTATTCCACCCCTACATATGAATTTCTAAAACTATACGTATTTCTGTACATAACCACAGTATGTTCTTTCCATTTGGACAAGATGAAGATGATTTTAGAAAAGATAGCTTCTAAAGCTGCTTAAACTCCACACATAGGGAGGAATATCCACTTAAATAATTCTAAATGTTGTATTATAGTTTCAAGAATTCCATTAGTAGTTCTTTACATTGTTGTTCAGTTCTAACTGTATCAGCCCCTTAGAACTCTGTCTCTGACACTTATTATGAAGTACCCATTAAATCACTCAGCTGTGTTTTTTCTTTATATGCTCAAATCACAAGAAGAAAGTAGCATTTTTAGAGCTGTATATCATTTGTGAACAGCTTGCTATTTCTTCTGAATGACAAATGTGAGAAAAAAAAAGTTTTAAATAGCTGTGGCTCACCACAAGAAGTGTAGGGCATAAAGTTAATTGTGTAAAATATAGTATGCTTTTTTTTAAAAAAAAAGGGGAACAAACAAAAAAGAAACCCAATGAAGTACTACATTTTAATATTTTATCTTCCAAGATTTATATTCTTCTCCCAGAAGTCTAGTTTTGGGCATTCTTACATTTTTTTTCAAATTTGTTTCCATCTTTTTTCTAATGTGTCATTTCCTTTAATTGTAAAAATAGATGCCTGTGCTATGAAACAGGTTTAATGAGCAAAAAATTAAGGAAGAGATAAAAATCACCCACAAATGTCAGCACCCAGAAATAACTAATCTATGTCAATGTGTTATATAGACATAAATAGTACTCTATTTTCATACTTTAACATCATATTATGCAGTGTTTTACACATATTATTCTAATTTATACTTGTATCATGATATTGTCAAACCATTTGTATATTTTTTTGGATATTAGGGTTTTTCTTTATTTTTTGCTATCATACACATTGTTTTTAGACAGCTTTATTGAGACATAAGTCACATACTATACAATTCACTCATTCAAAGTGTACTTTTGTTTTTTATCATATGTATAAACGTGTGCAACCACCACCACAAGCAACTTATGAACATTTTCATCATCCCCAAAAGAAACCCTGCACCCTTTAGTCACCATCCCCCTATCCACCCATCCTAGTTTCTCCCTGTCCCTCAATCCCAAGCAACCACTTTTCTATTTGGTCTTTTGTGACTGTCTTCTTTCATTTGGCACAATGTTTTCAAGAATTGTCCATGATGTAGCATGCGTCAAAATGTCATTCCTTTTTAAAGACTGATTATCACTCTGTTGCCCAGGCTGAAGTTCAGTGGTGCTGATATGGTTTGACTGTGTTGCCAGCCAAAATCTCACTTTGAATTGTAGTCCCCACAATTTCCATAATCCCCACGTGTCAAGCGAGAGAAGAGGTGGAGATAACTGAATCATGGGAGTGGTTTCCCCCATGCTGTTCTCGTGATAGTGAGTTCATTCTCACGGGATCTGATGGTTTTTTTTTCTTTTCTTTTCTTTTCTTTTCTTTTTTCTTCTCTTCTCTTTTTTCTTTCTTTCTTTTTTTTTTTTTTTTTTTTTTTTTTTTTTTTTTTTTTTAGACAGAGTTTTGCTCTTTAGCCCAGGCTGATGTGCGGTGGAGCGATCTCCGCTCACCCGCAATCTCCGCCTTCTGGGTTCAAGGATCCTCCTGCCTCAGCATCTCGAGTAGCTGGGACTACAGGCACCTGCCACCACGCGCCAGGCTAATTTTTGTATTTTTAGTAGAGACGGGGTTTCACCATGTTGGCCAGGCTGCTCTCAAACTCCTGACTTCGTAATCCATCCGCCTCGGCCTCACAAAGTGCTGGGATTACAGGCGAATAAACTGTACTGAGCCACAGCGCCCGGCCAGGATCTGATGATTTTATAAGGGGCTTCCCCCTGCGCTTCGCACTCACTCCGTCCTGCCGCCCTGTGAAGAAAGAGCCTGCTTCTCCTTTGCCTTCTGCCATGATTGTAAGTTTCCCGAAGCCTCCCCAGCAATGGAGAACTGTGAGTCAATCAAACCTCTTTCCTCTATAAATTACCCAGTCTTGGGTATTTCTTCAGAGCAGTGTGAGAATGGACTAATACAGGCGCCCATCATAGCTCACTTTAACCTCAAACTCCTGGGCTCTAGCTATCCTCCCATCTTGGCCTCCCAAAGGGCTGGGGTTACAGGCAATCTGTGAACCACCATGCCCAGCCTTATTACTTTTTATGGCTGAATAATATTCCATTTTATAAATATGCAACATTTTGTTTATTCATTCTTCAGTGATGGCATCCATGTTTGATCATGAATGCTTTTACATTTAATCTTTGCATTTCTATTGTTTTTATTTTATATTAGAGTTTTAAGAAGAATTACTTGAACAAAGGGTATGAGTTCTTTCAAGGCTTTTAACAGATATTATCAAATATTATCAATTTTATAGAAGAAAATTAGTATTGCCATTGCTGTTTCATTTGTATTTTTTGATTACTTGAGAAGATAAATTTTTTTCGTATTTTTAACTTAATATTCTGATAATTTCGGTATATCCTGCCCCATTTTATTTTCTGATGCCAATTTTTTTATTGGTTGCAAAAGCTCATTATGGAATGAAGATCTCACCTTAGTGCACATGCTGCCCTGTCTCCATGTGCAAATCTTGCGCAATCTTCACTTCTTAATTGCTACTTCTGCCAACTACCCATCCCTGCTCTCTTCAGTTCTGGTTAAGAGCCCCCTACTCTGTATTGCTTTGCATCTTTATATAGTAATTGTTTAATTGACATTTTTTGCCTATTAGGTTGTGAGCAGAACTGGAATGTACCCAAATAGGGCCATGTAAGTTTATTGCCCAGGGGTAAAAACTGAGGCTAGCTAGTGGAACCTGAAATCCAGCCCTTCTTAATTCCACAATCTGCAATCAACAGGGGTGCCTTTTTCTCTAGCTCCCTCAGAGGTACCCTGTGGACGGCAGCAGTCCTGGGAACTAAATCTATGTTTGCCATTGAATCTTTAATTCCTACACAGCTTTGGCCAAAACTTAATACATGTTTGTTGAAGAAAAGAAAGAAGGAGAAAAGGAAAAAAGAAAAGATAACTTTTTACTCATAGTCTGTTTTTCAAATATATTCCCTCTGTCCTTTGACAAATAAATTTTAATATATTTTTATGTACTGACTTTAATTAATTAATTAATTTTTCTTTCACGAATCAGGCACCTCCAAACCAGGATAGGTTCAGAACGGCTCCTGTAATTTAATTTTTAAAAATTCAACTAAATGTAATAAACTTTCTGGTGGGCTTTTAAGACATTTGTGCTCAGAAAGCACTTCCACATTTTTTTTTTTACAAAGTCTCATATCCCTCTGGAATTTAAAAAGATGATGTTTATTTTAATATGGTGAGTAAAGTTGATATCCTTTTCCAATAATTTGTGAGTTTCTTCAGAGCTATTTACATAATAATCAATTTGTTCCCTATTGATTCATGATGTTTACTAAGTTCCCATGTACGCTAAACTGTTTTAGATCTATCAATTCTGTTTCATTGCCTAACAATATTTGCAAAAATTGCCTATTCTATTATTTTTGTGATATAATATACCTTAATATCTTATAAAGAAAATCTCCTATAATTTTTGTTTCAAAATTTTCTTAGCTTCTCTAGATGAATTTTCAAAACATCATGTTTAATTCCAATAATGATAATACAACCAGTGCCACCTTCATTGGAATCATGGTAAATTTGGGATAAATGTTATGGGTCTTTATCATATTAAATTTTTTGGTTTAGAAATGTGGAATAGCCATCTATTTAAAACTCACCATGTATTTGAATAGTTTTATGATGTTTTCTGCATGTGTGGATGTGTATGTATATGTGTTTAATAGACTCTGACATATTTCTTGTTAGGGCAATTCCTAGAGATTTGTGTATTGTTTTGCTTTGTATTTTTTTTTTTTTGAGACAGGGTCTCACTCTGTCACCCAGGCTGGAGTGCAGTGGCACGATCACGGCTCACCACAGCCTCAACCTCCCGGGCTGAAGGGATCTTCCCACTTCAGCCTCCTGAGTAGCTGGGATACAGGTGCATGCCACCATGCCTGGCTAATTTTTGTATTTTTTTAGAGACGTGGTTTCACCATGTTGCCCAGGCTGGTCTTGAACTCCTGGGCTCAAATGATCTATCTGCCTTGGCCTCTCAAAGTGCTAGGATTACAGGTGTGAGCCATCATGCTTGGCATTGTTTGGTGTTTATTATTTTGTTGCTATTTATATAAATCACTTCACCCTATTTATTTACACACTATTGTTGTTTTTCTGCAAATATTTTAACAAAAGCTTCTATTCTACCACTTTATTAAGGTCTGTTACTAATTCTAAAATTTTCGTAATCATTCTGTTAGATTTTCTAGAGTCATAAAAATATACGTTGCAAATAATGAAGCTCTTTCAAATAATTACTGCTCTCTGTTAATCTTATGCCCTTACCAGAATTTCCAAAGGAAAGCTAGGTAACAATCTTTGTTTGCCTCATTAGACACTGAAGCATGTTGCTAATGACAAATTATGTGAGTATCTGAGTTCCTTGAGAGCAGAGCTCATGCTTTTTCCTTTTCTGAATCTTCAGCACCTGTCACAATGCCTAGAATAAAGGAGGTGCATGATAAAAGTGTATCTCATCAATAAGCTGGTTCAAGTGAATGTCTCTAAGGTTTTCCCATTAGTTATTATCCATGTTAAGGGTATATCTTCTTATTCACAAATTTATGAGTTTGTATTTTAATTAATGCTACCTAATTACAAGAGTGGGAATTACTAATACTGTTTTGTTATATGTTTCTAGAGGATTATTCTCACTAAATATAGATACTATGTATGTTCTTTTTTATGGATATGCTTTACAATAAAAAGTTATGCCAATAAAAACAAACCTAGTAAGTGCTATGTTCATGATGTATTCAGTCTTTGAAAGTATCTATAGTTAACATGGAGGTAAAGAATTATATAGCTTAGTCAAGTGACACAGGTGTATAAACATTAGTTTTTCTTGGAATTATACCAGGCATAATAAATAACAAAAAACATTTTAAGCATATTTTTAGACATTGTACTAGATATTTTACCCATATTACTTTTTGTTATTGTTGTTAATTTCATCAAAGGACTGGGATAAATAAGTTTTGAGAGTTTAAAAGTATTTTTAAAATGTTACCATTAGACCCACTTTTGTATAATTGCCATCAAAGGAATCATAATTTTTCAGGTGGCTAGTCACGGTGGCTCATGCCTGTAATCCTCATCACTTTGGTAGGCCGAGATGAAAAGACTGCAAGGAGTTAATGACCAGCCTGGACAACATAGCGAGACCCCATCTCAAGAAAATATTCCCAGGTAAATCCAAATCGATTTCTTTTAGACAACTGTGGTATAGAATTGTGACTAGTGTATTATTTTATGATCTCTTTTGTTACATCCTTAGTGTCCAATAGGATTTTTGTTGCGTTTGCTTTATATCTGAAATTCTGCATTTTAATTCAGCTACACAAATAATGCATCTTTTCAACAAAACTCAGATACAAATAATGTTCTAATATTGTTATTTATTTCCATACAGCATTAATCTCTAGTAAGTCTAACTTCGCAATCTCTTTTCTCACTTTTCAATACACCTCTAGCTTCCAATTGTTTTGCCTAGAGACTTTAAGGCCTATGACTGCCAGAATGAAAGATTGTTACCTCTTTTCCCTTGCTTATTAAGGTAGGAGGCCATGATGACGCACTTTTCTCAATCTCTTGGCTTTAAATGGATCTTACCTTGGGAGAGTTACAGTGAAGGCATGAGTAATTGCGATTTAAAGTTTTGCTTCTGTGTCATACAACAATGCTGCATCATGAAATGTTGAGTCTTGTCTCTTTTCCTGGCAGATGGCCAGAGGGTGTGATGGCTCCTACCTGACTGATACAATTGAAATCAAAGACTTGCCAAGTTATACCAGCAACTCCAGCAAAACTGTGAACTTACTGGCCTTGGAGGACTATGGATTGAAACACACAAAACATCTTTGGCTGTGCATGCCCTTCACACTGGCTGCCTAGTCCCCTCACAGAAGATTGTACCATGTGGTAGTTGGCGTAAGAAACCATTGTGTATATGAATTTTGTCATGAGGACCTAGTGGTCAGCACTCTTGCACATTACAGAACAAGGAAAATATAGTATTTATAAACTCTTCAGCAGTCCCTATTAGGGAGCCCAAATTCAATTCACCTAAACGGGAAAAGTGCAAATATAACAAAGGATTAGATCAGTTATCAAGCTAAATGAATCCTAAAGCATATTGCCTTCTAAACTAATTTTATTCAATACATAGCTTTAAGATTACTATGTAGATGGACTTTATTTTTTTCAATTAGCTTTGTGCCACTCAGGAATACAAAAAATGTTTCAGATATCTTTTTTAATCCATTGTTTGTTCCCAAATATATATAAACTTCTTTCAATTTTAAGCTATAATTCTGTTGCACACTGTGAATATAAAGTCAGCTGAATCATAATGTCTTGTTCATCCAGCTTCTGTGAACAGGTAGACATTGACTGGAATCTTTCCAAGCCCTTGGAAATGGAAATTTTTAGCTATTGGTTAAGGCAACACTCTTTGCATCTGAAGCAGTGAATACGATGTTAATGCTTAAGCTATCTTAATTTTCCAAATGCTAATGGCATAGTTGAAAGTGTTAATAATATGACTATATCAGATCTTGACTTTAGGGGGGCTTAATTTATCCTATCCTTGAGCAAACCATCTGGCATTGCTAAGCCCAAAGTTGCCTGGGCCTGTGTAACACTGGGTGGGTTTTAATTCTTTTGTCTAGCCTAGTAAATCATTCAATATGGTTAGTTTTTGAATGCCAGCTTGTTTTCAAAACTGAAATATTAAGAGCTGATGATATAAACCAAAATTGAAACTAGAAGAAATTTCTCCTTCCTTATTTTACACAGAAGTGGGCTGGAGCTGCTGCAATCACGGGGATGTCTGATATTGCAACAAAGGAAGCAAAACAGAGCTAAATGAATCCTGTGCAATGAGGAGGCATTTTCAGGTAGTGGCCAGAAACTAGAAACTGCTCTTTTCTGGTTAAAAACGTTTGTGACCCATAAAACCTTCTCACTGCTTACTAAATAGCACAGTTCTGAGATACAAACCAGCAAATTTACAAATCACAATGCTTTTCCTGCTGAATCAATAGCTGTAGCAAATATATATATGTAAAATGCAATGGAAAAATGAAGACCTCTTTAGAAGCCTGCAGAAAATTTATACTAGATATGAAAGTTTGAGCAATCACGTAAAAGCCCTAGTCCCTTAACATTGCTTTTAAGGTCATCAGTGTCCTGGACGTTGGTGACTTCCCTGCACCCATTTCTTCACTCCCCACCTTGAACTTCATGTTTAACTCTTATTTCTTCCAGTACTTAGTGAACACTGTCTTCTCTCTAAGCCTTTTCCTGGAGGAACATTCTCTTGTCTGACTTCCTAAGTCTGAGTTAAGTGGTCTCCTATGTCTCCTCTAATAAACTTATTTTACCCTGTCATTATTCTTAGTGCACTTATTTAATTCCCTGTTTACTAGCTTATCCTGCTTCTAGGTTACAAGCTCTGGCATATCTGTTCTGTTCACCATTGTATCCTGAATGCCTGGCACTTAGAAAGCCTTCAATAAATACTTGTTGAATGGCGTTCATTGCAGAAGCACTAAAGAATTTTTGCATGTTTTTACATTAAGAAAAATCTTAGTAGCAGGATCAGATCTCAGTCATATAGTACACTCAGTTGTGCAAACATGATTCCGGTAATTTATATTCTTTAAATAAACTGAATTTTAATTCCAAACTACTATTTCACTAGGATGTCAAGAAATTTCATCTCAGTCATTTAGGGGCCAGATCCTTCCCTGGGATCTCACAGAACCAGGGAGGTTTATATGAGATCCACGAAATGGCTGAAAGGGCTCCACTGTCTTTCTGGTACTGCTCCTAGTCCACGCATGAGGAAAGAAGCCCTGTCAATCTCTGCTCCTAAGCTACACAGGGTTTCAATAATCTGAGCTGCTTCTGGGAAGCCCCTGCCCAGAGCCCTGTCTTCCTAGTTATTCCTGCAAGGAATTTGCTCTGAAGCCTGGTCACTGCCACGCCTTCTCCAGTTCACCCTACCTTCATCAATTCTGACCTCTTTTTTGATCTTAGAAAAATTTTACCTCCTCCACTTCCTTCTCATTTCTCCCCTGAATGTACCCTCCCCCTTTCATTGGCACTTAACCTTTCAAAATAGGACAGGCCTTAGAATAACAAATGCCAGGAAGGCATCTTGTTCTCAAGCCCCATAAATCTCGGGCAAGAAACATAAACGTCATGGATAATCAGTTACAAATAGGAAGTGGAAGGAAATATACAGAGAACAAATATCCAAAATAATTTTTCAACAGAGAAGACAACTACAAAATCCTGCTACTTCTCGATTTCCTTATGTAAAGATTTGGCCAGATGGCCCAAGATGTTAATAATGTTAGATACAGGATTGGAGATACTGCAGATGGGCAAAGATCACAACCACTTCCCTCAGGCACAAGCTAAAATGGGTACCAGCTTCTAGAAGCATTTGGAAATTAACATCTAAAACACACTGTTTTATTTAAAGTTTACTTTTCCTCTTTTTCTTTCTCTTTTGTATTTATATATACACACATATATATCAATCATATGTGTATGTGTGATGTTTGCATACAATAAACTTACATATATACATGCATACATATATAATACATGTTATATGTAAGTATATAGTATAACATATTTATTTTGTATTTGTTTATTGTATATTAAATTATATATTATATTTATATAATATATATGTTAATAATATTAGATAGAATTTGTATATTACATAATATTGTATGTTATATAATGTGAAAGGAAAATATCTTGTGCCCCCAAAATCACTAAGGTAAGGGGAAAATTCAAGCTAAGAACTGCTTAGGGCAAACCTGCCTCCCATGCTATTCAAAGTATTCCCTTTGCTCACTGAGATAAATGCATAACTGATTGCCTCCTTTGGAAAGACTAATCAGAAACTCAAAAGAATGCAACCATTTTTGTCTCTCACCCACCTGTGACCTGGAAGCCCCCTCCCTGCTCCAAGTTGCTTAGGGAAAAAAAATAAAAATTAAAAAAAAAATTAAAATTCAGATTATTACATCTGTGTATCTCTTTGTATGCACTTTCAAAGTACTTATGACATTGAGTTACAGGGCTTTGACTCTTGGGTCCACAAAGGGACACCAAGTCCTGCTAAATTTTAAACACTGACAGCAATTAAAGCCCCATCTTCAGGCCCAGTACAAGATGTCAATCAAAATAAACTGCATTCCTGAAACATAGAGCCAGAAATTAAAGCTATTCAACTCCTCAAGGCCCAGGGACTATCATGGAAAAGGTGGGTGTGTGAGAATGTAAGAGTCAATCCTGAGTTCAGTTTCTCTATAAATTAATCATTAATGTCAAAGGCACACTGATGCAAGACCAGCATATGGGCCCGTGTCAGATTAACAAGGTTTTCTTGAAGCATTAGCTGACTCTTAAATAAAGTTTATAAAAGGTTTATGAAAGTTATATCTCATGGTCAAGATTAAAATTTTGTAGATTGTTTATAAAATTTTGAAAAACAAATTTAATTGGCTTCATGCTGTTTTTATTAGGGCTTATTATTTGGAAAATTCAGTCTCCTCTCAAAGAATGAAAGTCTTTGTCTCTCTTTTTGAAATTTTTGAGTTATCACTTTTGTCAAATGAATGACTTATTTTACAATGACCTGTGATATCAAGCATTTTAATCCTTTGATATTTCATAAACTGTCCAAAATCAAACTATAAATTATGTCTTCTGATCTAATTAATCCTTTAAGATATTAGGTCCCCTAAAGTCCAATAATGACATAATTTGCCTTATTTGATATAAAAATTGTACAGGAAACACTGTCAAATATGAATGGTTTTTTGTTGTTGTTGTTTTTGAGACAGAGCCTGGCCTGCTGTCCAGGCTGGAGTGCAGTGGTGTGATCTCGGCTCACTGCAGCCTCTGCCTCCTGGGTTCAAGTGATTCTCCTGCTTCAGCCTCCTGAGTAGCTGGGACTACAGGCGCCCACCACCACGCCTGGCTAATTTTTGTATTTTTAGTAGAGACGGGTTTCACCACGTTGGCCAGGTTGGTCTCAATCTCCTGACCTCATGATCCACCTGCCTCAGCCTCCCAAAGTGCTGGGATTACAGGCTTGAGCCACCGGGCACGGCCTGTGTTTGATTTCTTTAGGCTGTATTTGTATAAATGTGTTATTGGTATGCATCCCCAAATCATGGGAAACTCCTATAATTCTGATATAACTTGGTGTACATTATCAGTCATAATTTTTATTGTTATGTTAAATTGTTGTGTGGCACAGAGGTAACAAATTTGCTTGTCAATTGTGTCTTTAGCTATGGCTGCCATAAAACCTTTTGTCATCTATGGACAATTGTTGTCTTATTTTGGTCCTCGTTAAAAGGTGACTTTATAATCAGCTATAGAACTCTAACAGGTGTTCTTAAGTGCAGATTTCTGTTAACTTGGGAGATTGTGACATTAGAATAGAGGAAAAACTTTCAAGACTCTCATGGACAACCGAAATTGTTCATGAATATCAAGCAGAATGGGAGTAAACTGCATGAACTGAACTAATAGAAGACTAAAGTAATCTTTTTAACTTTTTGGTTAAAAAGTTGCTGATCCTTTGTTTTGTTTTTCAGAGTCAAGAAAAATTTTCTTTTAAGCTCTTTACAGCTTTTAACAAGTAAAGTATACTCCTATAAACAAAATTTGAAGTATATTTGTTTCTCTCTACCTGATTTCTCCAGAATTTGGAAACTATTTGTGAGTGTTCTTAACTTACAATAACACAGTTATTTGTATAAGTGCAGTGAAAATCTGTTTTCATTTATAACAGGACGCAATTGAAGAAAGTGGTTATTTTACCAAGGCTTTAACTGGAATGGTGTGATTTCCTTTAAGGAATCAAACTTGACTTATAGAGCCAATAAAAGCCCCTTGGAAAAACTAGCCTCATACCTTTTCCTACACAGCTGCTGCACAGGGTTCCTGACCTGGGGTAGGTAAAGAATGTCACTTTCTATCAGGCCCAGGAGCCCTGGTTTATCATGGAACTTCAAAAGGAGAGAATCATCCATCTCATGGGTATTTAATGGCACAAATCCATGGGTGGGCTCAACTTTAAAAAAGTCTTATCTGAGATTCCTCCTGAGGAACGCAGTTCCCTCAAAGCCAATTTAAAAGCATATGTAATAAATAATTATTTTGCTGCACTGTATGCAAATAATTAGGCCAGGTATAACAAAGCAAACCAGCTCTACCATGATTCATCTTTAGTAAAAATGGGAAACTGGAGAGAGAAATATTATGTTTCAAAACTATAGTACACCTGTTGTTAAATTCTAGTCTTGCCTAACATTTTTAAATTTTTATTATTTTCTACAGTTTGGACAGAATTCTAAGTTTTCTTAGCTATTAGTGTGCAAAATAATGTTTTCAATTTTTTTCTTTTTTCCATTTTTCCTTATTTGAAATTACTAAAAACTAAGATGTTCTTTCATAAAGCCCTGCAAACTGAAGCTAAACAACTTAAACTTCAGAAGAAAATAACAGCAATCTGTTTACATACATAAGCCACTTTCATACCTGCCTATCAACGTATGGACTTCAGAGTAATGTGGCCTACATTTATCTCTCACCTCTCTGTGACCTGGAAGCCATCTGCCTGCTTAAAGTTGTTTCACTTTTACTTCAAGTTGTCCCGCCTTTCTGGTCCAAATCAATGTTCATTTTACATATGTTGATTATGTTTCATGTTTTCCTAAAATGTATAAAACCAAGCTGCGCTCTGACTACCTTTGGCACATGTCATCAGGACCTGACTGTCTTAGTCCATTTTTGCTGCTATATCAAAATTCCTTAGACTGGGTAATTTATTGACAAAAGAAATTTATTTCTCATAGTTTTGGAGAAATCTATGTACCTTGTACATAGCAACAAGATCAATGTACCTTGTTGCTGTGTTCTAAAATGGTAGAAGGGCAAGAAGGGCCTTGTTAGTTCCCTTGAGCCCTTTTATAAGCCTACTATTCCCATTCATGAGGACGGAATCCTCATGGCTTAATTACCTCTTAAAGGCCCCATCTGTTAATACTGTCACATTGGGTCTTAGAGTCCAAATGTATGAATTTTGGGGAGACACATACATTCAAATCATAGCATAGGCCCTGACTTTCTACTCACTGATTCATGAACCCTGTGGGCTGGCTTCAGCCCACACCACCCTTCTGTAATAGCTCTTGGCAAGAAAACCACTATGTCCCTGCCACTAACACTAAGAGACATGGTGGCACATTAGCTCCTGGAGCTTATTTGTCCTTACAAATGTCCTTTTCTTTCCATTCCTTAAATGTTGGTATCTGCTATGGTCTGAATGTTGATGCCCCCTAAATTCATATGTTGGAACTTGATACCCACTGTGATACACCACTAATAAGTGAGGATTTGGGGAAGTGATTCATGAGGGTAGAGAATGGTATTAGTGCCATTATAAATGAGATTGAAAGGAATGCACTAGTTTCTTATACCCTTTCTGCCATGTGAGGACATAGCATTAGTCCCTTCTACCATGTGAAGACACAACGTTCACCCCTTTTGCCATGTGTGGATGCAGCAAGAAGGCACCATCTGGAAGAACAGGTCTTGACCAGACAAAAGATCTGATGGTGCCTTAATAGTGGACTTCCCAGCCTCCAAAACTGTGAGTAATAAATTCTGTTGTTTATAAATTACCTGTTCTAATATAATTTGTTATAGCAGCCCAAACAGACAAAGACAGTATTTTTTAGAGCTCTGTCCTAGGTGTTCTTTTCCTATTCTATAGCTTTCTCTGAGATATTAAATTTTTTCCTAAGAATAATTTATTATTTTTAAATTGGAGGCAAATCTACTGGAAGCTACATTTTTTTTCCTCTTAACTCCTGACCAGAAGGTATAGCCACATACCACTTGGATATGCTACTCACATGTAACATCTAGGATTCTAAAATTGAACTAGTTACTCCTATCTCCACCCCTCCCCCACTGAGCCTTGTTCCATCTCTGGTGGTACTTGGCTTGGTGAATACCACCACTATCACTTATTTTGTAAGCATTCATATTACTTCCTTTGCACCCTCACATAAAATCAGAAAACCAATTTAACCCATTCTGTGACTGAAATTTGTCTTAATCCATTAACTGTTTTCCAATTCTATTGCCATGGCCCCATTCAGGCTGCCATCATCTCTCTCCTGGATCCCTTCAATAGCCTCCTAAAATACCTTCTTTTCCTCTTCCTCCAATCTTGTCATTTTTGTCTCTTTTCCCACCCTAAAAGAATAAACACTGGCATAATGATCACTTAAAAGTACGAATATTTGCAACTCACTATCTTAAGGAAGACTTTGCAGTGGCCACCTTGTTTTGTTTAGATAAAGTCCAAAGCCCCTAACATGACTTACAAGACCCTTCATGGTATGGCCTTGGCTACTTTCTCAGCTTTATCTCCCCTCTCACTTACTATCATGCTGTCATCCAGCTACCAGATCTGCCTTCCAGACTGAAAGGTTTATTCTGACAGCTACTGGCACTGCTGTTGGTAGTCAGCCCTCAGCTGTCATCTGTTTTCGGAGTTCCATATATCAAATGGCTGATATACATGAAGTTATTGTAGAGATCTGGTCCTGTCATTTCAATTCAGGACAGCTCTGAAGGGCCATCTCAGCTTCAGAGCTCCCGGTAGGGTTGGCTGAGGCCTCTGTTAAGACTATCACAGCCCGACTTTTCTCTCCTCTCAATCTCATTTCCTTCCTTCCCTTCTCTTCCATATTACCTGGTAAAGATAAACCTTCTGCACACTAATCTCTGTTTCTGAGAATCTGCTTCCAGGGGAAAACAACTTATAACAACTCTCTGGTTTGCATTCCTGGCTCTAGCCGTACTGAATATCATTGAGTTTCTAGAATGCCTGTCTTGCTCTCTTTTGCCTTCAGGTTTGTGCCAGGAACACAGGCTAGAAGAAAGCCTTCTCTCATCTTATGTCTTATTCTAAAAAGGTCTCCTTTTAAATGTATTCTCATAGTAACCTCATTTTAATGTATTCTCATCCCCTCATTGCGACACCTGTATTACTCAGCACTATAACATCCCTAGATCATAAACTCTGTCTATTTTTGTATCCCCAGTGCCTGGTGAATAACAGATTCTCAGTAAACAATTGCTGAATTCATTTGTTCATTAATTTTGGTAATAGGGAAGCTTCACCCAAGTGTCCAAAATCCACTAGTGAAGACATGCTCTCCAACAGTTCAGTCTCCTTTTCCTCCACTTTTCTCCCAAAATTTATGTTAATAGGACTTTTCCTAGATGGCAATTACTGAAGTTTACTGCTTGTTTTTTTCTGTGTGTTCGTGGTCAATCCCTTTCAGATAATACACTTGTTCTTTAGATATGTTAATACATTTAATCAGTTAAATATACTGTTGCCTGCCTGGGTACAGTTGTCTTTCTTCAAAGTGATTTTAATATATTAGTTTTAATCTGATCTGCTTTTGTTGATTTTATCCTTCAATTTTTCCCCAAGATCTTATGGGGGTGAGGAGTTTCTCTCTATAGTTGCCATGTTCTGGCTGCTAATTACAACATACCCCTGTGGTGGAGGGGACTGTGTCAACATTCTTATTGGTTTAATGTTCCTTTTGTTGTGTACAGTTAAACAAGTATGTTTTCAATTGTTTATAGCAACTTAAATTGTGTTTTAGCAGGGTTATTGCTTTTACTTGGAGAGAAACACTAATTTTATGGAAAAGGTGACAATGGTAATGTAGAGATAATAAAAAGAGGCAAGAAGTAGATTCAGAAATACTCTTCTTAAAGATACTTACAATGGGAAAAAAGTGACCTCATTAATATAAAAAAAAACCTGAAGATTAACTTTACCTGTAAAACAGTCATCCATTCCCATTCACAGCCCAGTGAGCATGCTACATTTGGATTTCAGAGCTCACCACTGTGCAGAACTGTTCTCAGTAAGGTTGTCACTGTTACCCAATCTCAAGGGCACTTTTCAGTTCTTCCTGCTTTTGACCTTACTGGTAAACACTTCTCTGTTTAAGTAGCTGCTTGTACTCCTTTTTTCTCCTCTCACCCTCTCCCTGTACCTCCTGAGCCTCCTTTTACTCTTTCACTTCTTAACATTCCTGAGTCTGCTCTCTTTCTTCCTTTCTAAGCATGGTGAGTCCATCAAACTCAGGACTTTCTAGGCAGTCTTAGGAAACTTTCCCTTTCTCCCCTTATAGCAATTACTATTGTATATTATAATGTAACAGTGTTGTATTGCTTCTTAATTGTTTGAGTATTTGTCTCACTAGATTGTGAGCCGCTTCAGGGTAGAGATTGGGTCTTTTGCATTCCCAACCCAGCAGAGTCCACAAACAATAGGTACACAACAGTTGTTGACTTAATAAATACCCTGGGAGATACTTGTTTCTATATATAAATATACTTCTTTCTACATAAATTCTTGTCAGAATTTGCCTTCTTATTAATTTCACACAGAACTCTAAACAAAGTAAAAAAACCATATTTAATATACTCTAAAAAGATGTGTGCTCCTAATAGCAGGTTTAATTAAAATCATCCATGTGATAGTAAAAAAAAAATCTGGATTTTTCCGAAACTCTAGTACCAGTGGTGAAGGATATAATCCAAACATATTTTTTTCATTTGGAAAATAAGCATATTTGTGTCTTTATTTTATAATTACCTTTGGTAAGGTCATAAAATTATATTCTAAGGATATTTTAAAGTTATTGACTTGAAAAAACAATGTCTCTGCAAAAAGAAATTTCAAGTTACTTTTTTCCTATAAAGAAAGGTGATGAAAAGATTCATCATTTTATTCTTGTTCTTCATATAATAGAGATTAAATACCATGCAGAGATTAAATATCATGACTAATAATTTAATTTAATCCAATAAATATTTCTTTACCTATAATATAGCCAGCAACATAAAGGCAATGATCTGTTTTGGGTGAAATAGACAATGGCTTGGTTTCAGCACCATTCGAGTTGTCTCTGATACACTTACTATACACATGCACTTTTAAAACTTTTAAACTAGAATATAATATTGCCATATAATTTTGGAAGACTGCTTTTCTGAGGGAACCAAGCGTGAAGACTGTGAATACTCTGCTGTTATAATCTCAGAGTGACTCGGATTTGACTTTAATGAGTGATTATTTCAACTGATATGAGAATATCATACCACAGCACAGTTGTAATTTTTATCTCTAGTTCAGAAACCAGAAAAAATGTTTTTTTTTTCAGTATACATAAGGCACAGATGATAAAGGATAAGTGCAGTTTCAGCGATTAGATGGCTTATTTCTGGTTTAATGAAACTCACCTAAAAACAATAAAGTGATGGAAAAAGTTTGGACTGGGAACCTGGCATCACACAGTCCAGTTCTGCCTCTTAGTGATGCCTTTGGGAAGATCATTTTATTCTTCTGGCCTTCCATTTCCATTCATTCAGTTATTCATCTAAGTAACAAATATTCCTCTAATGGCTCCTGTGTGCCAGGAACTGTTTTGAAGAGTTGGTATAGAACAAAATCCAGGATGTCCTCCTGGAATTTTCAGTTATCAATGAAGTACAGTTGACCCTTGAACGATACGAGATTGAACTGTGTAGCTCCACATATAAGTCTTAGATGCCTTCACTTTGTGGCTTCTCTTCCACCTTCTCTACCTCTTCTTCCACCTCTGTCACCCCTGAGAGAGCAAGACCAAGTTCTTCTCCTCCTCCTCCTCTTCTCAGCCAACTCAATGTGAAGATGATGATGATGAAGACCTTATGATGATCCCCTTTCACTTAATAAACAGTAAATGTATTTTTTCTTCCTTATACTTAATAGCATTTTTTACTCTAGCTCATTTTATTGTAACAATACAGTATATAACACATATACAAAACTATGTTAATTGACTGTTTATGTCATCATCTAACATGAAGCATTGTTACATGTGTGTCTTATCTACTTTCAGTAGTTTTATTAGGCATGCACTTTTTTGGGTGTTTTTGGAAAATTTGGATCAAAATTCTGGAATTTCATGACATTGTTTTCTCATATATTGTGAATAATTTATTATTTCCTCATAAGAAACTCCCACACAAATTTCAAAGACTTCTTTAATAATTTGGTGAATGAAAAGTGTTAATGTATTGATTTATTACTTTGAGCATCAGTGAAGTTGAAAATATGTTTAATTATTTTTATTATGAAATAAGTTAGAAACAGAATACGGGTAATAATGTAATGAATACCCATGTACCCAATGACAAGCTTAAAGAAGAAGAAAGTTACAGATACACTTGTAGCCTGTAAAATATCCTTCCTGGATGCATTTCTACTTTCTTCTCCCCAGAGATAACCACTAGCTAGAATTTGGTAAATATTATTCCCAAGTATAATTTTTATACTTTTATACATACATATATATCCCTAAAGTATATGAAACCTTGCATATTTTATAGCATTGGAGCACTGATATCATGCTATAAGTATCCTCTGCAACTTGTAAAAAGTCCAGTATTACAATTTTTTGCTCTTTAGCCACTAATATATGGAGCTCTAGTTTAATAGTTTTCACAGATTTATAAAAGTTCATTATATGAATATATTCACTTTAAGTGTTGATAGATATTCATATGGTCTACAGTTTCATTATAAGCAAAAAATGATACACTGAAGATTCTTACATAAATGTCCTTATGTACATTTGAGAATTTCTTTAAGAAACAGCCTTAGAGTGAAAATGTCAGGTCATAGGATAGACACATCAGCTTTCCTAGATTTTGCCATGTGCTCTCCAAGGTGCTTGCTCTGATTTACACTCTTACCAGTACTACAAAAAGTATTCTAGTTGTTCCACATCCCAGCCAGTAGTTACTGGTATTATCCAACTTTAAGTTTGTGGTTAATGAGATGGTTGTGAAATGGTATCTCATTATGGCTTTAATTTTTATTTCCTTGATTACTTGTGTAATTGAGCATCTTTGGATAGGTTCATGAAGTTTACTGGCCTTTCCTCTTCTACATATTGCCATATATATAATGTACATATATATAATGTACATATATATAATGTACATATATATGTACATATATGTACACATATATATATAATATATATATTTTTAGACATATTCTCGCCCTGTGGCCCAGGTTGGAGTGCAGTGGTGCCATCTTGGCTCACTGCAACCTGTACCTCCTGGGTTCAAGCAATTCTCCTGCCTCAACCTCCCAAGTAGCTGTGATTACAGGCATGCACCACCACAACTGGCTAATTTTTATATTTTTAGTAAGACAGGGTTTCACCATGTTGGTCAGGCTGGTCTCAAACTCCTGGCCTCAAGTGATCCACCCACCTTGGCCTCCTAAAGTGCTGGTATTAAGGCATGAGCCACCGTGCCTGGCCATATTTTTTAAACTTATATATATAAAAACTAGGATACTTATCTTTTCATTTATAATTTGTGATAGTACCTTTTATATATTCTTCTTATTAATTTTTAATTGTTACACGCTTTCCCAAAATCTTCCAGCCTATGGTCATCTTTTAACTTTGTTGATGGAGTCTTTTGTATAGTGTTAGATTTTAATGTCTGTAAATTTAATAATTTTTTCCTATATGAACTGTGATTTTATTTTATTTTTTTTTAGTTTAGAGACAGGGCCTTGCTCTGTCCCTCAAGCTGGAGTGCAGTGTCACAATTGTAGCTCAGTGTAACCTATAACTCCTGGAATCAAGTGATCCCCTTGCCTCAAGCTTCCTGAGAAGTTAGGACTACTGGCATGCACTACCATACCTGGCTAATTTTTAAATATTTTGTAGAGACAAGGTCTCTCTATGTTTCCCAGGATCGTCTTAACTCTTGGCCTCAAGTAAGCCTCCCACCTCGGCTTCCCAAAGTGCTTGGATTACAGGTGTGAGCCACCATACCTGGCCTTAACTGTAATTTTTGTTTTGTTTCTTTCCCTCTTAATGTCAGATAGTTTTCTATATTTTTTTCAAATTTTTTTTTTTTTTTGAGACAGTCTCACTTCTTCACTCAGGCTGGAGTGCAATGGTGCGATCTTGGCTCACTGCAATCTCTGCCTCCTGGGTTCAAGCAATTCTCCTGGCTCGGTCTCCCCAGTAGCTCGGATTACATGCACGTGCCACCACACCTGGCTAATTTTTGTATTTTTAGTGGAGACGGGGTTTCACCATGTTGGCCAGGCTGGTCTCGAACTCCTGAGCTCAAGTGATCATCCCACCTGGGCCTCCCAAAGTGCTGGGATTACAGTCATGAGCCACTGCACCTGGCCTGTTTTCATTTTTTATACAAAAATGTTCAATCCATGTGGAATTTATTTTTGAATATGGTGTGAGGTAGGCATAATCATTTGATGCTTTTTCCACAAACAGTGGTCTCAGATTCATTTATCAAATTGCCCTTTTTTTTTCCACTGATACATAATGCAACATCTCTCATATATCATTTCCATATATGTGAAGATGTGTTTCTGGGTTTTCTATACTCTCATTGGTCACTTTGTATAGCTGTGTCAATAACATGCCAATTAATTTCTATAGCTTCAAAAAAGTATAATGCTTCCTATACTGTATAAGTTGTGTCCTCCATAAGAACACCAGGGTAGAGACTGAAATCCAAATCCTGCTTGATACACCCAGATATAAGGCTGTGCCTACCTAAAAGGCACTTTTTTCTAATTCATAGAAAGACTGCCTGCTGGGTAAACTATGTGCTTTCAGGGCTCCCCGCTTTCATCCTAGGGGTACTTTTTCCTTCTTCAGAAATTGATAGAGAAAGGCTACTACATACTCTGAATGGATGTCAATTGGACATCCAAAAGGACAAGATGGCAATTCTCCCATCTTGTCCTTCTTCAAAAGTGTCTAGTCTATACTAGGCCTTTTGATCTTGCTGAAATCTATGTAAATCTTGTTGAGAATTTCACTAATCTTGCATTGTTTTTTATTACTTTGTAGAGAATTGACATATTTTTGAATTTAGTTTTCCCATTAATTAATGTGATATTAATATTTATTCATGCCTTTTTAATGCCTTTTAACAGAGTTCAATAATTTATTCATAAAGGTTTTGTAAATATTTGTTAATTTATTTTCAAGGTTTCCCTTTCATTGTCATCATACACACACACACACACAATTGCACTTTATGCTTGTGCATCACTCATGTTTAGGAACACATTTTTTTTATAATGATGACATTAAAAAATACTTATTGGTCATTCAAAATGAATTTCCTTTTCAAAACCTTAGTTTATTATTTTTTTTCCTGGTCTATCTGTGGCGTAATACCCTCCTCCCAGTGATTTGTAAGAACTTTTGAAAGTTGAAGGCAAATTGTATTTCATCATATGTATTTCAAATTTTTTCTTCCTGTTTGCCGTTTGACTTCTAGTTTCATTATTGGGTATTTTTTCTTTGACTGCAGAAAATTTAAATTTGATGGAGTCACATATACTACCCTTATGTGATTTCTTTTTTGTTTTTATGTTTCCTTTTTCAAGATTATATAACTATTAATTTATATTTTATTTTTGAAGTTATTTTTATTTAACTTTTTAATCTATTTGATGTTTGCTGTAATTAGTAATGTCAGTTTTATTTTTTTTCTTTTCAGGAAATTAGCCAAATGTTCTAGCACCATTTTATTCTCCACTGAACCCTGCTTCCATCATAAATTCATGCCTTAATCTTCATTTTCAGTCTTGTTAACTACTTGAAGAGTTGATAAATCTTGGAATTTCAGTCAATCAATTAAACATTTTTGAAAACTAAGAGAATACTTTACCTTAACACTGCAGTAGTTCATGGGAGAATGCTCCCAACAAATAATTCATATTTTCACACTGTCTACTCACAGTCTGGCCAATATAGAGTAGATAATAAATAGGCAATAGATGGATGAATGAATTGTGGAAATTAGGAGACATCTTTTAATTTAGATTTATTTTTCTTTGGAAGGGAGGTAGGTTTTAATTTCTTGCAAGGTTGTAATTCAGTAGAACAGGAAGGGAGAAACTAATGCAGAGGAACAGAAGGAATGCATGAGATGGAGAATGCCTAGAAATGTTTGAGACATTGATTAAGTCATCAGAAATGGAAACAAGTTTAGAAACAACTTAGAAAATAATACACTGTAGGTCTGATAAATATTGTAAGATTGGGAGTTTTTTGTTAAATTATGGAAAATTTTATATAGATACAATAGTAGAACAGACCACATGAACCCATCTCATATTATCTTCAACAATTATCAATTCAAAAGTTGTTATCGTTATCTCTATCTCCACACATTTCATCTTTTCCTCCACCACTGGATGACTTTGAAAGAAATCCTAACCATTTCAACTATAAATATTTTAGCATGTCTCTGTAAAAGTTAAAGACTCTATAACAACAAGACATAGACCCAATATCCAGGTTGAGTAGGAGTTTGCTATCTTACTAATCTAATGTATTAACAAAGTCTAGAGCATTCTTATTAAAGTGGTAGAGCATGAAGAACCTTCTACCTGGAGTTAGGAGATTTGCTGGGTTGAAGTCCTGGCTCTCAACTTCCCACCTGTGTGACTCCAGCAAAGCTCTTCACTTCTCAATTCCAAATCTCAATTTCCTCACTAGTGAAAGAAGGATACATAGTAGTAGTTGTATCCATTTCAGAATTGTCATCAGGATTGAAGTAACAGATGTGAAAACAAAACTAAAATTGTGAAGTAGTAACTTCCAGTCCAATCCTCTTCTTTGTAAGTGATCTTGAGGACAGACACATCACCTGAAGGATAGATCATCTTTGCCTAGCCTTGTCTACAATGTTCTTGCTAGGTTTCTTTTCCTAAAAACACATTACTTAGGTACTTAACAGAACAAACAAACAAACAATCAAAAGACAAAACCAAAAAACTTTGGGGTTATAGACACCCATACTCATAAGTATTTCTGAATACCAAGAGAAGAGTATTTAGGTTTGCTTCTCTCAACTTTTCACCTTTCATTTCATGTACCCTGTCCTTTGTCTCAGCTCTAATAGCTCTGAGAGCTGATTACTTTTCGGGTGTCCCAAGTATCAGGATCCTGCCTAGTGCAACTCAAATTTCCAAAAGTTAATTTAGTGGCCTTTTGGTGACCAGAGCTTCAGATAACTCACAGGGAAACAATGTTTATTTCCTCTCCCACTAACAGTCACAAAAAATCATAAAAAAGAGTAGCGGGGGCAGTTTTGATGGCTAACCCCTCTTTCCATCCTTTGGGGGAAAATTGCTCATCTCCCTATAGGTGGAACTCTAAAGACAATGTATTCCTAAAAGGGGCCATCTGGGCGGTGTCCTCTTTTCCCAGCGCCCTGATTTCTATTCTTAGATCTGGAGATAGGCGGCTTTCATTTTTCCTGCTCCCAGTTCCCAGACCTTCCGTGGGGCCGCAGGATCCCCGGCTGGCGGGTCGCGGAGGGTGGCCGGCCGGGCTGCGCACTGCGCGCCTCCGCTGCGGGGCTCCGGGCCTGTGGACTCAGCGGAGTCCGCTGAGTCAGTTTCTTCCCGCGCGACTCCCGGCCGCGCCGCCGCTGCGGTGGAATCTGGTCCCAGGAGGCGGCGTCCGCCCGGGGTCCGGTCTAGGCGTGCGTGGGGGCCACGGTCACGGTCATCCCAGCCAGGCCCGGCTCCAGCAGCCCCACGGCCGCCGCCAGAGTTCTGCGCGGCCCGTCGCCTCGGCGGAGCCTCTGGCAGGCCCCTGAGCTCGTTTTTGGGGCCTGAGTGGGGGAGGAGGAAGCCGAGCAGGAGGGCTCCGGAGAGGGAGGGCAACGCGGGGCGGGGAGCTGCCTCCTTCCTCATAAACAGGCGGGCGTGGGCGCCGATGGGGCCCGCGGGGAGCGCTGGCTGCGGGCGGTGAGCTGAGCTCGCCCCCGGGGAGCTGTGGCCGGCGCCCCTGCCGGTTCCCTGAGCAGCGGACGTTCATGCTGGGAGGGCGGCGGGTTGGAAGCAGGTGCCACCATGGCTAGTGGCAGCTGTCAGGGGTGCGAAGAGGACGAGGAAACTCTGAAGAAGTTGATAGTCAGGCTGAACAATGTCCAGGAAGGAAAACAGATAGAAACGCTGGTCCAAATCCTGGAGGATCTGCTGGTGTTCACGTACTCCGAGCGCGGTAATCACTTGAAAATAAACTGTGCTTTTATTTTTGCAAACTTTCTCCCCCTCCTTACATTTGCAAATTTTGTCCTCCTCCCCTTGACCCTGCTCAAACCCGGACTCTTAAGGAGCCGCAAACTCCCATATCCTTTCCTTAGGGCAGAAAGCAGCTGAGAATTTCAGGAAGGTCTTCACCTTTTTGACTTTTCTCCCCGTTTCAGACTAAAAAGGAGAGGGGGTGCTGTGGATTGTGACTTTGCTTCTTTTCCCCACCCACTTGTTTTCCAGCCTCCAAGTTATTTCAAGGCAAAAATATCCATGTGCCTCTGTTGATCGTCTTGGACTCCTATATGAGAGTCGCGAGTGTGCAGCAGGTAAAGGCATTGTTTTCACTTCAACTCATTCTCCCTTCTGTTTGGAAGGAGACGTTTTACTGGCAATGTTAATATAGCCGAGAGTTCTTGGTTATTCCCAAAATTTGGCTTGAGGAACCTCTGACTGTGATTTTAAGATGGGAATATTGTTAAATCATTACGCAATGTAAACGGGATGAAGAGCCCCAGTATGTGTTCCCTGAGTGTCTTTAAGAAGTAACTTTATAAAACCAACAGTATGGATGGTGGTAGAAGGAGGATAAAAATGGGTTCGGTTTTAGTCTCGTTATTGGCAAGATGAATTCATTAGTGTTTAGACTTGACTATTCCAAGTATCTTCCCAATACAGAGCATGTCCTAGATGAGAAGATTATGAATAGTTTGGAAAAGGGGAATAATTAATAGTGATAAAATGCAACTTTGTCACTAGCAAACTCTTGTAGAGTTCAGCACTTTTTAAAATTCAAAGATTTCTAGCCTTTAGTTGTAGTATACCTTGTAGTATCTAAAGAAAGTGATGTCTTATGAGACCCTCATAGTTTGCAACTGTTGTCATATAAAATGCATGTAGAAGTGAAACTTTTACAATCTGTACCATAGGAAACCCAGAAATTTGCTATGTATCTTGGATTTTTTTTTAAAGGGGGCCTTAAAAATGGTAATTAAGAATGATTTACAGTCAAAACAAAATTATAGGCCAAGGTGATAACTTCCTTCGGAGCACTTAGAGATTTGGGGAACTGAAATCAGTTTTGTCATCTGCATGTTAACTCATGCAGAGAAAGAGAATTGGACTTTGAACTCCTTGGAGGTGCAGTCAGAAAGCCAATGTTTCTTAATGGTTGAGAGGCTTGACAGACATGAGGCATCTCAATCTTTAAAGTGGTGTGGGTCTATCTTTATCTTGATGTTTATCTCTGTATCTAGCTGTATCTAGTCTGGGTGAACCATCTAGCTTCTTTGATATGAGGACATTTACATCTGGAAGAAATATTTTAATTTGTTTTCAACTGTGAAATATTTTCCATCTGACTATTATAGATTTTCACGCTGCTATCAAACCAAACCAAGAAAAGATGGAGGCATAATAAAGATGCTGTTCTTTTAAGACTCAAAGTCGGAATTTTGCCTGTGGAATATGAGTCACTTTTTGGGCACTGGCCTATTGTGCTTCCTGCTCTGCACCCACGTCATCCCTTCTTACTTGTCTCTGCTTTGGTGTTCAGAAGTGCCTGATTCTGGCCACCTTCATTCCCTAGACTCTGTACTTGATAGAGTCACTCCTGCTTGATACTGCTCAGGACAGTCAGATCCTGGGTAGGCGTTTTGGTCTGCAGGGTCTAGATAAGGCAGTGCTATACTTGACAACCCAGGGGAGCCTGGAACATACTTCCTAATTCTTAATTTTAGAAATTGCCCAAGCCTGAGCATACTTGTCCGGAGTAGTTATGAGTGTCACTTAGTATTTCTGCCTAGAGAGTACCAGAGGCAAAGTATGCTGGAAAATAAGGAAGAGTTTTTTTAAAAGTAATTAATTACTTTTTTGGATATATCATAGTTGTATATATTTTGGGGATACATATGCTATTTGATACATGTATACAATGTGTAATGTTCAAATCAGGGTAACTGGAATATCCGTCACCTCGAACATTTTTCTTTGTGTTGGCAACGTTGCAATTTCTTTCTTCTAGCTATTTTAAAATATGCAATGAATTATTAACCATAATTTCCCTGCTATACTATTAAATATTAACTTAATTGCTTGTATCTAATTATATTTTTGTACACATTAACCACCTTCTCTTTATCCCTCCCCATCCTTTCATTTCCAGTCTCTGGTAACCACCATTCTACTCTCTTCCTCCATGAGATCCACCTTTTCCGCTCCTACATATGAGTGAGATTATGCAATATTTTATTTCTGTACCTGGCTTATTTAATTTAACCTAATGACCTCCAGTCCCACCCATGCTGTTGCAAATGACAGGATTTCATTTTTTATGACTGAATAATATTCCATTGTGTATGTATACCACATTTTCTTTTATTTTTAGTTAAGTAATTAATTTAGAGACAGGGTCTCACTCTGTTGCCCAGACTGGAGAGCAGTGGTGTGATCAAAGCTCACTGCAGGCCTGCAATCCTGGGCTGAAGTAGTCCTCCTGCCTCAGCCTCCCAGGTAGCTAGGACTATAAGCATGTGCCACCATGCTCAGCTAATTTTTTTTTCTTTTTTTACTTTTTGTAGAGATGGAGTCTTGCTATGTTGCCCAGGTTAGTTTCAAACTCCTGACCTCAAGTAATCCTCCTGCCTCGGCCTCCATATTTTCTTTGTTAATCTGTTGATAGACATATAAGGTGATTCTGTATTTTAACTATTGTGAACAGGGCTGCAATAAACATGGGAGTTCAGATATATCTTTGATATACTGATGTTCTTTTTTTGGATATATACCCAGCGATGAGATTACTGGATCATATGAAAATTCTCTTTTTAGTTTTTTAAGATACCTCCATACTGTGTTTCATCATGGCTGTGCTACTTTATATTCCCATCAGCAGTGTACCACCATTCCCCTTTTTCTGCATCCTTACCAGCATTTGTTATTTTTTGTCTTTTTGATAATAGCCATTCTGCCTGTGGTGAGATAATATCTCATTATGGTTTTGATTTGCCTCTCCCTAATGATTAGTGAAGTTTAGGATTTTTTTTTCATGTACCTGTTAGCCATTTGTCTGTCTTCTTTTGAGAAATGTCTATTTGGATCTTTTGTCCATTTAAAAATAAGACTTTTTTTTTTTTTTTTTTTTTTGCTAATTGAGTTTTTTTAGTTCCTTATGTATTCTGGTTGTTAATCTTTTGTTGAATGGATATTTTGCAAATATTTTCTCCCTTTCTTTATGTTGTCTCTTCACTTTGTTAATTATTTTCTTTGTTGTGCAGAAGCTTTTTAGCTTGATATAATCCCATTTGCCTATTTTTGTTGTAATTGCCTGTGCTTTTGAGGTCCTACCCCAAAAATCATTGCACAGACCAATGTCCTGTAGCATTTCCCCAGTGTTTTCTTCTAGTAGTTGCATATTTTCAGGTCTGAGATGTAAGTCTTTAATCCATTTTGAAATGATTTGTGTATATGGTGAAAGCTGTGGATCTAGTTTCCTTCTTTTGCACAGCCAATATTTGATTCTCACTGAAATCTCACTGCCCTCCTGGAAATATTACCGGATGTTTTACTGTCATAGCGAAGTGAGAGTAAGCTGCTCACTGAGGATCAAAGAGCTTGTGACAGACCTAAGACTCAAGTCTTCTCACACCTTCAAAATCTCTTTCCATCATACAATCTACTAGCTGCTGAATTCGCAAGCTTTTTGTGCAAGCTAGTAAAAAGCAAAATGGTTTGATACAAATACTGTGGCCATGCTAGGTACAATGACATCAATTTAAATTATCATTGGTCTTAACAAGGGGATGTAGAAAGGGGTCTCCTACTGACATTTTAATACTCACTTAAAAGTAGTATTTTTCCTTCAGATTTCTTTATATTATTAGTATAATTACTGTAAGTATCCTTTACTGCTTTATATGTTGAATTAGCTGGAAGTGCCAAAAGAAAAACTCTTAATGATAAATTTAAGGTATTAAGGTAAATTTCTCCTTCATTTAATTTAATAGTAATTCTTAATTACTATTTAAAATAAAGATTAAGGTTTGTTTCTAGATGCCATTTAACATGATATTCCAGACTGCCAGTTTTATTTTCAAAGTTTGTTTCATATTTTATTAATGTTTCTTCATAAATGACAGTCTTTAGAAAATTGACGGTTAAGCTAGGTGCTTTATATTTTTCTTTTCCTGCCTATCTTTTCACTGTGCTCCTAAATTTTACATCTCTTTATTCTCAAGGGTTCAACCTTTGAAGAAGGGGAGCAAAATAAATGAAAGTGGCTAAAATTTTTTCTTTAACCCCTAGACTCTTTCCTGTTGTGCATTAATTACATGCTTGAGTTTTTAGAATAATTATAATAAAGTAAAACTACCAATTTAATTGTATTGTAACTGTGCAAGATGGGAACCTTCTCTCTTAGAGAGATAAGCTTTTAATTGAATAGATTAATGGATCAATTGTTACCTCTGCTTTGCTGCCAGAGATTCTATTTAATCACAGAAGTTCCATGTAGTGCTGGAGAGCTCAGTTGCCTGAATCTTTTTGCAAAGCGTTTACTGATACTGTTGCTTCACCAACCAAAACAAACAGGTTTTTTCCTTGAGTCAGCTTTGTAGGTACAGAGATGAGTTTGGCATCCTATGTGACTTTTTTTTTTTTTTTTTTTTTTTTTTTTACCACCAGAAGCTGTTCAGAATGTTATTTTCTTAAATAGTTCGGAAAAAAGTCTTGATGTATTCTATGAAAGCACAAAAATAGTCAGTTTCTATGACAGCTGGATTGTCAACGTCTGTTCAGCTTACGTGGAGGAGGATGTCCTACTTGAGTAGTATAGGTAGAAATAGCTATCAGAAATTGCCGCCTTTGAAAGCAATTTGAAATTATGTAAAAGGAAGTAATGACAAAATAAAGCAATTTATGTTTAATCTGGAAAAGATCCAAAAGTAATATTGTAAAGAGATCTTGAGTAATCATTTTTATCTTCCTAAAATAGCCGTTGTTTACTCCCGTAAGCGAGTAAGAAACTTGTGCCATTATTCCTTATTGGGTGCATATAGATTTCTCACCTTGTCATTCAACTCCTTGCAATATTCAACTTTACTTATGCATCCAGCCTTATCCCAAAATAGCCTCTTCCCTGTAGCAGCTTCCTTATCATGTAGCAGCCTACTCTCCTCACCGCTCATCCGTTCTTATACAATCTGGCTTAAGCTCTACCTCTTCATATTATATTCTTCTCTGAGTAATTTCAACTCACACTGAGTCTTACTTTCAGTATTTCTATTATATTGGTATTTATTACACATCACACTTAGATACTTTTCCATTAGTCTCTAGAGGGTACATATATGCACTTTCTCTTTTTTTTTTTTTTTTTGACCATGTCAAGTATAGTTCTATAGTATAATAGAATGAATTGGAGATCCTTTACATTTAGAGAGGGAGGAGTCTACAGTAGGAAGAATAGGTTAATTTTCATCTCCGGTTTGAAATCAGGACTTTCAATTTTTTTTTCAGAGGTAAAGAGCAACTTAGTCAAGTTGGCATCTTGTAAACAGACTGAGTGAAGATATACTTAAAATGCATCTATAATTTCATATTTTATTTCGAAATGTGAAAGAGCCTACTAGGGGTGTCTGTGATCTCTAGACCTTATCAATTCATTCTAGAGAAATCTGGAGGGAGCCATTGAGGAGTTCTACCTCCTGTCTATTTTATAGAGCTCTTTCTCTTTTTCTCCTATCAGATGTAGATTCAATTGCTAAAAATGCCACGTTTCTTGCCTCTATTATTCTAGCTTCATTACTTGGGGAGCAGCCATTCTGATAACTTACATTTTGCTACTAAAATCTCCAACTTCACCTAATCCTTCATTATAAGCCACTTCATTTTTTCCTATAATTAAAATTTTAAATATGTGGAGGAAATTCTGTCAGGTAGATATGACTTAAAACCTACTAAGGGCCAGGTGCAGAGGCTCACGCCTGTAATCCCAGCACTTTGAGAGGCCAAGTCAGGAGGATTGCTTGAGCCCAGGAGCTTGAGACCAGCCTGGGCAACAGAGCGAGACCCCTGTCTTCACAAAAAAAAAAAAAAAAAAATTAGCTGGGTGTGGTGGCACATACCTGTAGTCCCAGCTACTTGGGAGGCTGAAGTGGGTGGATCACCTAAGGACAGGAGTTCTAGGCTGCAGTGATCTATGATTGCACCATTGCACTCCAGCCTGGGTGACAGAGTGAGACCCTATCTCAAAAACAAAAACAAAACCAAAAAAAAAAAAAAAACAAGAAAAAAAAAGTACTAAGGATCTGGTATAGCCATTCTTGCACTTAATAATCTTGGTACAACCTCTAAAACTATTTTTTATAGTTTATTTTATTTTGCCTTATTTAGACAATTGGCATGTCTATGTTCTTCATAATTTAGAAATTATATGTATTTATATATATAAATTATATATATTATATATTATGTATAAATTAAATTATATATATATATAATATATATATATTTGAAATGGATTCTTGCTCTGTCATCCAGGCTAGAGTGCAGTGGCACAATCTTGGCTCACTGCACCCTCTGCCTCCTGGGTTCAAGCGATTCTCCTTCCTCAGCCTCCCGAGTAGCTGAGATTACAGGCGCCCATCACCATGCCTGGCTAATTTTTGTATTTTTAGTAGAGACTGGGTTTCACCATCTTGGCCACATTGGTCTCAAACTGCCGGCTGAAATGTTGTATTTTTTGTATGTCTTTCTGGTATGATTTTTGGAGAAAGGTGTATCCTAAGAATACGGCTTGCTTTTGTTTCTGGGTAAGCATTTTAGGGTATCATTTTGTTGTATAACCATTGTTTACAAGTGAGATAAGCATCTATTCCACTAAGATTGAAGAGATTCATGTTTGACTGAGTATGCTCTATTAACATTCTTTAAAACATGTGAATATATGTCTTTCTTGTTTTCAGGTGGGTTGGTCACTTCTGTGCAAATTAATAGAAGTCTGTCCAGGTACAATGCAAAGCTTAATGGGACCCCAGGATGTTGGAAATGATTGGGAAGTCCTTGGTGTTCACCAGTAAGTATGATAGATATGTAAAACAAATGGCCTTGAGTATTTATTTGTACACATGACAACCTTCCCTTGATACACTGTGTTTGCAATCCAAGGCTACTCCTGTGGAATTCTTTAAAATACAGATATTTTTCCTTGAGTCAATGATTTACATTTATAGAGAGCTTTAAACTCAGAAGTTTGATTTAGAAAGCAAACATTTAAGGTAACATGTCAGAAGTTATTATTTTAATAATATAATCATATAATTATAAAACTGGTTAAGTTGTAGATTTTTGATGAGTACTTTTGAATTCAAACCATGAAGAGATTTTGGCTTTTAATAATAGAATCGATACAAACCACTAGTTCTTAAAAAAATGGGAACTGAGAAAAGTTAGTTCTGTAAGTAGTAATTTGAAAGTTGATGTTCTACTGTCTTTAAATAGTACATTTATATATATATTCCTATATATACAGTAAGTTTAAACTATGGCTTTCAGAAAGAGTTAAGAAAGAGGAAATTAACTTTCAGCACATCTGTAGCCAAATCTTGATAGTAATTTTACCAGCTATGTTTTTGCAGTTTGCAGCATAATGGCTTCTTAGATGAGACTACTTCCTTAGCCATCATTAATTAAGAAAATATTTTCTCAAGAAGAATGTGTTTCCAGGAAAATACATTTTGGATAGCTTTGTTTCTTGACAGTTAAAAAATATCTTCTAAGCTACTGAGGAGGCTGAGGAAGGAGAATCACTTGAACCTGGGAGGCGGAGGTTGCAGTGAGCGGAGGTTGCAGTGAGCCGAGATTGCACCACTGCACTCCAGCCTGGGTGACAGAGCGACACTCTGTCTCAAAAACAAACAAACAAACAAACCTTTTGTCATTAACTTTAAATCTTTTTTATACCTAATATGACTTTTCTTTATCACAGAAAAGGAAATTGTGAATATTTTTTGGCTTCCAATGGTATATGGTTTATGAAAATTTAATTTATGAAAAATTTTCAGGTGTTTGTATTGCTGATCAGTGTCAAGTAGTGCTATAAATTTAGACAAATTAGAGCTATGTGTTTGTCCATAAGTGAACATGTCTGTGCTTATACATTTTCCCCTCTTTGACAAATGTGTTGCTCTTCTTGTTTTCAGTACATAAAGGGTGTGTTTTGGAAAGAGCATATTTACAATTAATTGGAGTTCTCGTCTTCAATCTAATCTCTGTAATTCTATGTATCAGTTCTAAAGTATACAGCATTTGATGAGGAATTACTCAAAATATACCAGTAATTAGGAATTGTAACTTTAAATGTCCCTTGGTTTGGGTGATAATTTCCAGGAAGTCCAAAGATGAGCCAGTCTATAACCTCAGGGAGTGTTTGGGAAACTCATCTAGTCATATTCCTGTACAAACCAACTGTTCAAATTAAATTACATAAAAGTTTATGTAGGAAATTTCATTCACTCACTCACTTACTCATTCACTCACTTTGTTCATCCAGTCATTCATCTTCTATTCATTGAATGTTTTTGAAGCCTGTCCTCTGGGTCAGAAACCATGCAGTTGTGAAGAAGATAGACACACTGCTGTCTCCAGTGGAGTGTATTAGATCACTCCCAGCAAAAATTGATTGTAAAACAGATTTCTCTTTTTTCAAGGCCTTTTCCCTCCAAAGACTTACCAGTACTGAAGAAAAATTTCTTCCGTGGTAATAAAGTCAGGAATTGTGGGAATGGTATAGGGAGAGGTAGGGGCAGGGTGATTAGGAGGAAGGCTGGCAGAGAATCGAAGACTGGCTTCATTCAGGTCCTCCAATTGCCAAATGGAGATTATGCAACGTTTCTTGAATACATACAAAACTCTAGATGTGGCCAGCTCAGTCTTCTTCCAATAATGTAAAGCCAAACAATGCTTTGCAGGAATAGACTAGAGATTATATTTTGGGATTAATAACATAGGGATTAAAATCTTATCTTGAACTAACTAAACATTATTGATATGCTAAATTCACTTTTTTTTTTTTTTTTTTTTTTTTTTTTTAGACAGAGTCTTTCTCTGTTGCCAGGCTGGCGTGCAGTGGCGTGATCTCGGCTCACTGTAACCTCTGTGTCCCGGGTTCAAGTGATTCTCCTGCCTCAGCCTCTCGAGTAGCTGGGACTGCAGGAGTACGCCACCACGCCCAGCTAATTTTTGTATTTTTAGTAGAGACAGGGTTTCATCATGTTGGCCAGGATGGTCTTGATCTATTGACCTCATGATCCCCCCGCCTCGGCGTCCCAAAGTGCTGAGATTACAGGCGTGAGCAACGGCCACCGGCCCACTACTTTTTAATATATCATTAATTTCTCTTTTAAAAACAGTAGCAATCAATAATTTAAATATTCAAATGAATTCTTAATTTATATACACAAACTAACATCTTTATTATATCTCTATATTTTAATATATCAACATGTCTAAGATAATTTATAAATTTACATCATATATAAAAATGGGTTTGCTCTCGATGTATATAAGGCTTCATGATATTTTGAATATGGAGTTGGGTGAAAATAGTGAATCTGAATATTTGAATTTGAATATTTATTGGAAAATAAGTAGTGCTTTTAACTTTTTAAATGAGACACATAATAGTCCCCTGTTGATTTTTTTTTATTTTTTTAACTTTATTAAAGTATAGTTGACAATTAAAAATTGTTTATATTTAAGGTATACAATTGATGATTTGACATGTGTACATTGTGAATTATTCACCACAATCAAGCTAATTAACATTCCCTGTTAGTTTTTATAAGCCTGGTTCAGGTTTGTAGAAAGAAACAAACACACATGGCCAGGCACGGTGGCTCACACCTATAATCCCAGACTTTGGGAGGCCAAGGCAGGAGGATCACTTGAACCCAGAAGTTTAGACCAGCCTAGGCAAAATAGCAAACCCTGTCTCTCCAAAAAAGAATGAAAAAATTAGCCTGGTGTGGTGGCATGTACCTGTATCCCTAGCAACTCAGGAGGCTGAGGCAGGAGGATTGCTCACTTGAGCCCAGGAGTTTGAGGTTTCAGTGAGCTATGATTGCACCATTGCATTCCAGCCTGGGTGACACAGCAAGACCCTGTCTCTAAAAGCAGGCAACAAAAACACATGAGCTTCACTACAGGGAATTAAATACAATGAGAGTAATAAAAAATAGGTGAGCAAAAAAAATGCAAATAAGCAAACTTTTGAGTATGATATTTCATTCTTATCTTGATTTCTGTTTTTAACTCCAGATTGATTCTTAAAATGCTAACAGTTCATAATGCCAGTGTAAACTTGTCAGTGATTGGACTGAAGACCTTAGATCTCCTCCTAACTTCAGGTAATATGTGTATATGTTTTTTGTGTTGATTCAAATTAAAAAAAAAGTTGATACCATTAAGTAAATGTGTGTGTGTGTGTTTTTTTTTTTTTTTTTTTGAAGATCAGGATTAGGGTAGCTTGATTTAAATGTCCTAAAATTGCATCTGTTTTTAGACCTAGTGATGGGACAGCCATAATATAATCTAAATATCAGTTATTTCCAAAATTCTTTCTGTTTCCATCTCTTCTCCTTATCTCTTTTCTCTATACTTTGCCTCTCAAAAATCTCATTCAATACATTGGTTTTAAACATTACCTTATATATTATCCCCAAATCTCTGTTGGTAGTCCGATGTTTGCTCCCAAAATCTGGACCTACATCTCATATTCCCCCAGGTTAGTGGTCATTCCTGCCCTTGCCATTATTACTTCTTTCTCCCTATATATCTTTAATAAATTTTCTATAATATATGTTCTGGAGTATGCCATAATCGTTACATTTTGAAAACACATAGTATTACTTCTTGAGTATTTGCTAGATGCCAGGCTTCACAAGTAAAATGCTTCACGTGCTTTTAAACACCTGAATCTGAAAACACCCCTTGAGATAGGGATTTTATCTCAGTTTTCTAAGTGACAAACACTGAAGTGCAGAGAAGTTGCTTTGGCCACTAAGAGGTAGAAACAGGGTCTGATTCTCCATGTCAGGTTCCTTCCCTGAGAAAACTTTGGCCTGGTAGATAATGGACCTGAAAACAAAAAATCTTGAAATGATGCAACAGTTGTGGGCATTGCTGTGCTGGACACTGGCTATTATATAAGGTTCCGAGAAGAAAGGCCGCTCACAGGGAGCTAATCTTGAAGGGCTGGGAGGAGTTTCCTTCCATGTAGGGGAGGGCTTTTTAGGTTGAGAGAAGTATGGGTGCAGAGGCCTGGGAGGATAGCATGAGAGAGGCTGGACGTGTGATTGGGAAGGTTTGAATTGTCCTCATCAGTCCTGCTAAGAGATGTAAAGACCATGCTGGAGAAAGAGGAAGATGAGAGTATGAGGGAAAAACAAGAAGGTACTCAACATTTCACTACAGCTTTTTATGACCATGTTGTATGGCATGCACTAAGAGTCTTTAACCATGATTTAATTTAACCTCACCCTTGGGAGGTATTTTTTTTTTGACGGAGATTCATTCTCCATTTGGCGATGGACAGGAAGATGAGGGTTTATTAATATGAAAAATCTACCAACACTGGAATATATTGAAGTTAGCCTCATACAGTACTACTACTCCTATTCCAGTATTATTATTTTTATTGACAGAATAGATGCTGTTTGTGTTAAGTTTTGGATTATGATAGGAAATGTTTGGTATAGTAAAAGGCAAGAGTGTGACATGCAGTTAGTCCAAGTACGAAGAGATACCAAAAAAAAAATGTTTAGTGAGGAGCAGAGTTTAGCATATTTGGAGTGAAGACAATGTGCGGAAGGAAAGGAGCTGATGAGATACATGTACTATAGTCGGTTGTGTGAAAGGTCTTGTTTTTCATACTAAGGATCATGAGAAGATCTTAGTAGATTCCAGCAAGGGATTTGCAAGACCACATTTGTGTTTTAGAAATATAATGCAGGCAATAAACCAGTTGGATAGAAATTGGGGACTGTAGAGCAATTAAGCAACTGTTTTTGCATTCTAGATGAGAATGCAAAACACAATAGGAATGAAGGTGCCTTGTTCAAAAGGAGTTTTGTTCAAAAGGAATCTTCAAGATGTGTAGGAGATATTCTTAAAGGACTTGGTAATGAATTGATTTGTTGCTTGGATAGAGAATGAGAAGAGAAAGGAGGGTGGAAGAAGGAAGATGACTTAGGAGTTTCTCTTGGGTAGCTAGTGGATTATGGTATCATTGATGAAGACAGGGAACAGGAGTAGGCCAGGTTTGGGGTAACTGTGGAATATTCAGATGTTGTCTAAGAGGCATAAGAATGTATTTCAGATGTTTGGGGCAAGTTGTCTAGGCTAGAAGTACTGATTGAGACTCATGAAATTATAGTAAAGTGAACTGGGAGTTTATCTCATTTATAAAGATCTAGAGCTTGATAAGTCTAACATCTAGGGCAGTTAAGTAGTTTATCAACAAACAAACAAACAAACAAACAAGAAAACCATGGGTCTACAAACCATTCACAGTCTTCATGTAAAAATTAATTCATGTAAAAATTAACACATTAAATGTTAAAGCAGCTCTTTACTCAGAGCATATTATTCTCTTTAAAATAGGTAAAATCACCTTGCTGATATTGGATGAAGAAAGTGATATTTTCATGTTAATTTTTGATGCCATGCACTCATTTCCAGCCAATGATGAAGTCCAGAAACTTGGATGCAAAGCTTTACATGTGCTGTTTGAGAGAGGTATTTTAAAATGTCAAATTCCTTAAAGTATATATAAGAAAAAAAGGCTTATACTGGGAAAAGTAGAACACAGTTATAATAAGAAGAAGGTTTCTAAAATCCTACTATTTATTAAGAAGTGGGAGTTGTCTGTCAAGGGTGAGGAATGGGGTTAATTCAGAAGTATTGCTTGTTTTGGTGGGGTGAATTTCATTCGTGGGTTATAAATCATGCCCCTGGAGTAGACTTTCTTCAATTGCTTAACAAGGCATAAGGTTTACTTTGAAAACTGGATGTGTGGGTGCTATGAAAGAAAAAATAAAACTGTGAAGCCAAGCATAGGTTACACTGGGATTATGATGTTGAGTCATCACCAGAAATCATAGAAATTGCATAAAGAGCCTGAAGGTTTACAAAGTGTCCTTCAGGAAAAAGACTAATATGCATTTCATAGCCTGGCCCTGAGATTGATAACTGAGATTATTATGTAATTTTAGAGTTGGTTGGAGTCCTTGTTTAGTCTTTCCATTGACCTTAGGAGGAAGTGGGTCACAGCAGTGAAGTGAGCATCCTGCCTGAGGACACAGAGCTTGTGACAGTACAGTTCAATTAGCAATTATTTTAAGAGCCCCTTTTGTATCATTATGAGAGCCAACTGTGCTAGGGGTTTAGATAAGAATGATTTATGTGGGCCCTGTGTCAGTTATCAGTTTACCAGTCTAATTTCTTGCAGTTCCCAGAATGGGATAGATCACCTGATAACTGTTGAATTCCCTGTCTCCTCCCAGAAGGATTTTAAACAGCTTATAGATAATTATAATACACAAGAGTAAACAAAATGGATGAGAAAATAGGTGAAGGGACAATAATATAAAGCTAGATTAAGTTTACTGTGTTTCTAAGGTCCTGCATATTTACAAAGGGGTGGGCCAGAAATTTGTCTGTTTGCTTCCTATCTGACAAAGAAAAGAGGTAAATATCAGTGGTTACAAAGTTCCTTAAGATAAAAGTAAACCTATTATTCAGGAGAAGCAATTGGTCTCATGGGAGATCTGAGAAACATCTTCCCATGGGTTTTCCTGGATGAGACAATAAAGGACATACATTTTGCAAGGAATACAAAGTGTATTGCAGCGAGAGTGACTCTGTCAAAAGTCAGAATAGCATGGGCCTGGTACCCAGCTCTTTGATAATCATACACCGTGAAGTAGAAGATAGTTTACAGCGAGTACGGAATTCCTTCAGGCTGTCATGTATAAATGTTCTATCTTGCAACTAAGCTTTCGATGACAATTAGGATAAAGTTTGAGGTTCTATTGTCTTGCAGGGTCTGTAATCTTCTGTGTGGAAGGTTAGGGGCACATTCTTCTTCCTGGAAGGAGGGCTAGCATCACTTTATCACCATCGTTGTTTAGTCCATCTAAGACACTGGAGGTAGACCATAGAATGTTACAAAGAAGAATGTTGCTCAATAGAAAAACCATCAGTGCTGAGAGGGTTATGACTATAAATGTAGAGTAGAAAAATTTCTGATTTTTCCAGGAGTATCAGGTTCTCCAGGACTCAGGGGTGACTATAAAGTTAATTTTCAAAATTTGAAAGTGTACTGTGGAAACTAGACCATAAAGTGAGAAAGTTCCATGATATTCTTCACTTGTTAGGAAAACTTAACTGATTTCACATTATATTATAGGGACACTCTGGCATAAAATTAAAAAAAATGAATGTTGATCACTTAGAGTGCTGTGTTTTCTAACATATTTCTGGCGCCATTCTCAAGCTAGATAAACTATAATTTTATACATGTTTTTCAGGTTGTTGCCCAATAACAATGACTCCAAATGGAACTTACTGGCTTGATCAAATGACTTTAATTGTGAAAATTAATGATTTATATTTTTGCTGTCTGATGGAAAACCACTAAGACAGAGTATTTCAAAGTCTGATTACTTGCCATTTGCTCAAGTTGACAACTCTTGAACTGAAACATTTAGCCGAGCTGCCCTTCAGCAGCCTACCATTAATGCCTCCCTTTTAAATATTGCAATATGTCCAGTTCCAGTTGGCCATCTTTATTAGTCACTGTCAGTTTTCTCTAGAATTTCCCAAATGAAATTGTAAATAATTTTGTTTTTCTGAGAACTGCTTGCTGACTAGCACTTTTACATTTCAAAACATGGAGTACCTAACATAGGCCGAAACAAAATTATTTGAATCTCCGTAGCTTGTTTTCTCATTATAACATTCTTAGGAAGGGCTGCTTCACAGAAATATATTTTTTATTTAAGGAGATTACACTTGATGTATCTCACACAACTATAATGAATATTGTAATTTTTGAATAATTAAACTTTCATATCATCTTTAAGCTTATTCAGTATTTTGTCTTTCATTTTTAAGTCTCAGAGGAGCAACTGACTGAATTTGTTGAGAACAAAGATTATATGATATTGTTAAGTGCGTTAACAAATTTTAAAGATGAAGAGGAAATTGTGCTTCATGTGCTGCATTGTTTACATTCCCTAGCGATTCCTTGTAAGTAGCATTTAAATGTTATTTATTTTTTGTATCTGAAAAATTACAATATATCTCATTCTGAGTATATTTTAACAATATTTTTATTATTTAGAAACTTGTGGATGCTCAACCCATTCATTCATTTATTCATTTAATTAATTTACATTCACTGACATTATACTGAAGTTGGCTGTGGGCTTGGTGCTGGAGAAACAATCGTGGAAAATACAGATGTGTTCCTTACCTTTTCAGAGCTTGTAGTACAATGGGGGACACAGATAAGTACAGAGGTGATTACAGTGGCAGAAGTGATGGCAGATGGCAGAAGTACCTAGAGTTAGGAGATCAAATAGGAAGTGAGGCAGTGTCTCTTAGCAAAGATTTAATAAGTGGAGCTTCCTGTGCATGAAGGTGTGACCTGAAGTGAGAATGCAGGCAAAGTGGCCCAGGCAGTGGGCATGGTTAATGTAAAGATGCTGGAGCAAGAGAGAGCAGACTGCCTTCAAGAAGACAAAAGTAGCTCAGTAAAGGTGTGGGGTTATGAGTGTGCGTGCATGCATGCGTGTGTGCCGCTGTGCATGCACATCCCCAAATATCCTATCCGTTTGTGTTTCATTGACAGAGGCAAGGGAGAGCTTGATAAGAGGCAGTAAATGAGGCCAGAGACATGGAGTGGAGAGCATGAAGGGCCTAAAAAGCCACATGAAGGAGTTTGAATTTTATTGTGACTCTTGATTAGCATTTTAATGAGGCTTTGAAATTTAGCCACATTTTTCACCAAAAATATTAATCAGAAGAAATTAATTTGATGTGTATGCTACCAATGATTGCTATTAGGCTAAAATAATGGTTCATATTCTGTTTTGTTTTGTATTAATGGTTCATATTCTGTTTTGTTTTGTAAGTGACCATTAACACTTTGTATTTTATGTATTACTTGTGTGGGTTTCTACAGGATATACATATGCATTTATCTAGTGATATTTTCATCCTCACACATGTGAAGTTTTGAGGATTAGAGTTAAACAATGTACCTGGTATGTAATAAGTGTTCTAAAATCACTGACAGGATTATTAGACAATATGTATTTTATATGTGTGTTGTATACTATATGTAATTGCATTTATGGTTTCAGATATGGAAATCACTGTGTCAATCTGAAGGTGTGAGCCTTCGGTGTAGGCAGAGTAAAACCCAATGCCCTTGTGAAAGAATGCTTTTTTTTGGTGATGTTTATAAAATCACAATGTTTTCTTATCCACAGGAAATTAAACACTGGAAAGTGGGTGGGGCTGAACAATAATAGAGAAAGGCCATGGTTTTACATTTCTCTGAGACATCACTGCCAACAAACTGAATATGTTTTTCATTATACTTTTTCCTTGGCTATATTTATTCATTTATTTATTTATTTTGGGCTGGAGGTTTTTGGAATCCATTGTTTTCCACCCACATTGGACATAACTCCAGTAAAAATGTGTTGATTCATAATGCAAAAGTCAAGAAAGTAGCAGCTAAAAATTAAGAAATCAAAAGTTTTTAAAACACTGATTCTAACTGAAAAACATTTGCTTTTCAGTCTTTAAGTCTATTGTTCTGAGTCAAAGCAGTTCATTTCCTTACGTTGTTAATTTTTTTTCTATGTTTAAGCATTGTAATATACTTTTTGTGAAAACAGTTGATTAGTTTTGGTTGTGCCAAAACAAATACTAAAATGTTTTGCAAACAGCCTTTTTTTAAACAAAAAAAGAACAGTTAACATTTGATGCAGAGATATACATGTTTTCTCCATGTAGGTTCACACCTCACTTCCTTTATTGATTAATTGCTTTTTCTGGTAGAGTCTTTCTTTCCTTTCTGTTTTACCTGTGTTTGTCCCTAAGACTTATATTTTAATATTATGCCTCCTCTCTTTCGTTCTCCCATCTTTTCTTCCACCTATTTTGGAGCCTTCAGGAAGCTTGATTTTGCTGCCTTGTACATTGGTTGCCCTTCTGGAATGGAGGAAACAGGTCATAGCTGATTTTAACTGTTCCATCTGGTGACATATTCTTGATTTTCTTTCTTTTGGTTGGGGAAAAAAAAACAATGCAAAAGTCATTCTCCAATGGGGTTGAGCCTCGTTAAGAAATAGACCCTCCACAATGGTTGAACTAGTTTACAGTCCCACCAACAGTGTAAAAGTGTTCCTATTTCTCCACATCAAAAAAAAAAAAAGGTAAGCAATATAACATGAGCCATATCTAATAGGACTTCAGAAATTATCTATCCTATAGTTCCAGGATGACGATGATGATGGTTGTGATAATGATGAAGATTGTGATGATAGTTATATGGGAGATAAAACTTTAAGCACTTTACATATTAAATTCTATAATATTCACCACATCTATTAAAATATGTTACATTATTGTCCCTATTTTACCAACAAGAAAACTGACCAACAAGATTAAACAACGTGACTAAGTTCACACAACCTGTAACAGCAGAATCTATGTCAATCACAACACAATTAGCAGCTATTTCTGTGGCAATTTTCAATAAAGATGTGTCTGGAAAAAAAAAAAAGAAATAGACCCTCCAATTTATTTATCTGAAAACTTATGACCAATACATTACATTTCCAGACTTTCATTTTCAGTACTTTTCCTTTCATTTTCAGTACTAAAAGTACTCTGAATTTTTCCTTTTTTTGATCTTAAGGCTTTAAGCCAAGAAACAGGAATAAAGTAAATTTTCCTTAATGCCAAAGATTAGTCCTACACCCCATTATGTTATTAATGAACAGCATAGTATTTTTTACAGCTACTTAAAGAACATGATGTTTAAATTTGGAAATGCAGTCATTATGCTGCCATCTATTTACAGTCTATATAAGACGTCTTTGTATGCATATTTGAAAGGAGAACATGGTTACCTTATTGATAATTATGATCTCTTTAAATTCAGGCAATAATGTGGAAGTCCTCATGAGTGGCAATGTCAGGTGTTATAATATTGTGGTGGAAGCTATGAAAGCATTCCCTATGAGTGAAAGAATTCAAGAAGTGAGTTGCTGTTTGCTCCATAGGCTTACATTAGGTGAGTTTCTTAGTTAATATGTCATCACACACTGTATGATATACATATACATATAAAACATATATATGTTGCATAATAATGGATAAGTAGCATATTGACATACTTTGAATGAAAATATTGTAAAATCCCAGAAAAAATAAATTAAAACAAAAAGAAAATACTGTAAATTACCAAACTGTTCTGCTGTGCTTAGATGGACTTTTAAAAGGAGTGTCAAAAATAGATGTGTAGAATGTAAAAGAAGTATTATCTTAATCTTATTTTTATAGATGTAGTTCTATAGATGAGTTTTTTTATTGTTGAGGCTATATTTAAAATATAATTATGTAAGAATTGATACATACAAAAATATGCATAACATATACAATATAAAGCATAATGCAAATAACTCACTATCCAACTTAAATGTTGTATATTCCCAGTGGGGGAAGCTACCCTGGGCTTCTTCCTGCCCTTGCTTTCTCTATAGAGGTTAACACTATCCAGAATTTTGTGTTTACAAATCTTTTGTTTATAAATATGATTTACTACATTTTCATGTTTCTCTAAGCAAAATTGTTAATGTTTGCCTGCTTTTGCTTCATCAAAATGTAATCATACTGTATGTTGTCTTCTGCAATTTTCAAATATCAGTGCTATGATTATAAGAATCAGAAATATTTTTGCATGTGGTTGCATGTAGTATTCTATTATTTGGAAATACCACAATTTATTTTTCCATTTTTCTATCCATGGACATTTGGATTCTTTCTTATTTTATGCTACTACTATCTGTGTTAAAACAGATAACTGAAAAAGAACAGTTAACATTTGGTGCAGAGATATACATATTTTCTCCATATATAAATAAGGGTTAATATTTTAAAAAATATTTATTTGCCATTGGTATGTCCTTCTTTGTGAAATATGCAATCTGTCATTTATCAATATTGTTCACAGGATAGTCTGTCTTTTTAAAACCGATTCATAGATTCTGGATAATAATGTTTTGGTGGTAGGTTATACGTATTGAAAATACCTTCCCTTGAACATCACACTCTGGGGACTGTTGTGGGGTGGGGGGAGGGGGGAGGGATAGCATTGGGAGATATACCTAATGCTAGATGACGAGTTAGTGGGTGCAGCGCACCAACATGGCACATGTATACATATGTAACTAACCTGAACATTGTACACATGTACCCTAAAACTTAAAGTATAATAATAATTTTAAAAAAAAGGAGATGAAGAGGTAGCTGCAGGTTGACTGAGCAAGGGTCATTGTCTATTTGAAGTTTCAAAGGTATCTCTGAAAATAAACACAGTTTTTTGCAAGAGTGAAAAAAAAAAAAAAAAGAAAATACCTTCCCTTGACTTGTAGCATGTCTTTTCACCGTCTTTATGGTGGCTTTTGTGATATAGTTAAATTTAATAATCAGTTCCTTTGTGATTTACTCTTTTTTATGTATCTTGTTTAAGAAATCTTAATCTGTCCTTTCCCTAAGATAATAAATATATTGTATATTTTATTCCAAATCTTACTCGTTTGTTAAACTGTTGCAGTTTGTTTTTGTAAAGAACCCAATTCCCCCTCTTTTTTTCAGTGTGGAGAGCTAGTTACCATCACAGCACAATTTATTAGAGGTTCACCTGTTTCCCAGTCATGTGGTATATAAATATGTAAACATATATGCTTATGTTTCTGTCCTTGGCGTTCTGTTGCATTAATCTGATTTGTCTGAATCAGATTTAAATCTGATGTTAAATATAACACTATTTAAATTAATAGTTCTGTAAGTCCTGATATCTGAAAAGCTAATAGGTCAAGTCACCATACATTCTTTTTTAGGCACAGCTTGCCTTTTTTCTTGGGCCTTTACTATTCCATGCAAATTACAGGATTAACTTGTCCAGTTCCTTGGAAAACACTGTTGAGATTTTGACTGGAATTGCACAAAATATGTGGATCATTTTAAGAAGAACTGACATCTTTACATTATAATTTCTTCTATACATGTCTTGCACATCTTAGTTTTTGCTACGTATCTTATTTTTTATTATTATTGTAAATGGTATTTCTTTTTAAATCATATTTTTGAACTGTGTTTTCATAAAGAAATGCAAATGATTTTTTGTATATTGAACTAACCTACCTTTCTAAACTCTTCGTTAATTCTGACAATTTGTTTCTAAATGCACTTAAGTTCTCTACCTAGCAATTATATAATTTGTAAATAATGACAGTCTGAGTTCTTCCTTTCTGCTTCTTATATTCTTTATTTCATTTCCTTGTCTTCTTACATGAGTCAGAATTATTAATATAGTGTTAAATAGAGCCATTGATACTAGACATCCTTGTCTTGCTCTTTTTCCTGATTTTAAACAGAATATTTTTAATATTCTCCCATCCAAAATAATGCATCTTACAAGGGTTTAAACTTTTAAAAAAAATTTTGTTAAGAAATTTTATTTTATTTCTTCTTTGCTTTTGTTTTTTCAATGTGGGCTTTTAAATGTTTGCTTTTATTTTTACAATGTGGGCTTAAAAATATTAAAATATTTAATTTTATCAAATATACTTAAAATGTAGTAAGTCTTTTTTTTCCTTTTCATTATGTTAATATGAAGAAATACATCTACAGGTTTTCTAATACTAAGCTACTGTGCACTTCCTGATAAATTTAACTTGGTCATTTATTAGATTTTTAAAAACACTTCTAAAAAATCTTCTCTGTTTATTTTCACATATACCAGGTGAGTTTTGGCAGCCTCTTGTTTTTTCTTTTTTACCCTTTCTTTTTTGTTAAAAACATCCTTTTATTTATTTAATGATTAATACATGGCTATTTTGTGTTTTGTATCTGATAACTATATATAAAGTTCTGGGGAGTCTAAACCAACTGCTTCTAGGCTGACTGCCTGTCAGTTGCGGAGCCTTGTTTTCTTGTATGGTTGTGAGTTTCTCTTTTATTGAGCATCCTGAGGACTTAAATTAAAGATGCTCTTTCAGAGGTGTTTGCCAGGAGTCAGAGCACAGGACTGACCTGGGAGCAGTTTAGGATATGATCCAGGCTTAATATGGGAGACTCTGGTTGAGACCTTACCTTGCAGAGAGTCTGAAACTGGTTTGTTGAATGCAGCGCCAGGATTCATGCTTTCCCACAAGACTACTCTGGCGTTCAACTCACAGCTCTTGTTTCAGCTTCTTTTTGAACTCCCTCTGCCCCTCAACACACACCTTGGAAATTTCCTTGATATTTTTGTGAGGACAACAATGCATTTAAAAGTGAGAGTGGTTGCTGAATAATAAGGAATGATCGTTAACTGTTGGACATTGATTCTGATGACATTTTCTCAAAAGGATAACCAGGAATATTTTGTACAAAATTAGGATTATTATAATAGGCATTTAGTTTTTCATTGTTACAAATTTTGAGGAAAATCATTAATCATTTGAAAAAACTAATTGACATGTCTCCATTGTAGCAACTTGTATTTTCACTTCTAGTATCATGATTATATCCCCTGTGTAATTTGGAAATTGATTTTAGCATTAGGAAATTTCCTAGTTTCAGTTAAAATGAATTTTTTGTAAGCTGAATTCTATTTTACATGCACAACTTTAGTTTGTTATTTCTTTCCTTGACAAGCATTTATTGAATGTTGTTATATGACTAAAACTGTAAGATGATAATGTTTTAATATTTTCACATTTCTTTCATAGCTTCCAAAGTGTATATATATACTCACATACTTCATATATATGAATCTACTTATATACTGTATATAAAAATATGTATATAAATATATACACATTGTATATAAATGTGTATATATATTTACACATGTATATAAATATACATACAAATGTATATAAATATACATATTTATACACAGATGTATATAAATATACATATTTATACACAGATGTATATAAATATACATATTTATACACAGATGTATATAAATATACATATTTATACACAGATGTATATAAATATACAAATATAAATATATACATTTATATATAAATATACATATTTATACACAGATGTATATAAATATACAAATATAAATATATACATTTATATATAAATATACATATTTATACACAGATGTATATAAATATACAAATATAAATATATACATTTATATATAAATATATATATTTTTTGATACGTACAACTATCTTGGGAGATGGGATATTGTTATTATTTCCACATTTACAGATGAGGTCCTGTGGTTCATCAATCTTTGTGTTTTATTCAAGATTATGTAAGCAGTAAGGGATGAAATCAGGCTGAGAACCCAAATTTCTTCATCCCTAAACAAAGTATTTCTTCTAAACATGGTATCCATTTACTAGTTTATCTCTATCAGGTGACCCTTTATTCATTATTTTTCATGAGAAGGTTGTAGTTGTACAAAGTGGCTGATATCTGATAATGTTTTAATCTAATTCAAAGTCGATTTCTTAAATCCAGGTGTCAGAGTAGCACACTACTGTACAATTCTCTGTTTCATGTTTTACAATTTACCACAGTCAAGTTACAACTTGCACATGTTACATTAAAATGTGAATTCACCTTAATTTCTTGAAATGAGCCAGAAGAAGAAGTGGTTTTGTTTTGTGATCAGGGAAATGCTACTTGACTGCCAAATTGTCTAGAACAGCACATTAAAGTTGCTTGATTTTATACTGTTAAAATTAAATAAAACATGGCAACTGTCATGTCATATGTAACTTTTGTATTATTCTGTAACTTTTTTTGAAAATAAAAAGTGATCAAATTGATCTTCAGGTAAAGAATCTTTTTTCTCTTGATTATCTCTTAGTGGATGATGATTTGTTCCATTTAATGGGTAGAGAATTTATTGTTGCTGTTATTGTTTCAAAAGTAGCTGAATGAAACTCTTAACTTTTTCTTCATAGTTAAAATTAAAACCTCAAGTAAATAAATATTTAACGTTTTGCCAAACTATGTAATCTAATTATGGGCTTAATGCATTTAAAGGCTTTGTATAATTTGCTACGTATTTTCACACAAGTTACCTGAACATAAGTCCAGTCTTCCTGCTGTTTTCTGAGTCACACAGTGATTCAGTGACCGAACAGCTGTTGGCAGTGGTGTGGGTATAATAGGGAAAAGAGACTGATGGGGACAACCCAAGTTTAGACAAGCTGGTAAAAGTAGAAGAAAATCTTCTTGAAAACACTAGTGATCACTAAGGGCTGTGGAGAATTTTTGCTTGGTGGGTGAATGTGGAAGAGGCAACAGCATGGGAAGGTGTTGGTAAAGGAGCTCCATACTTGCTTAAACTGCCTTTTGATTGTGAGGCCGTTGATGAATATTTAGTTTGGGCTTTAGGTTTTTTATGATACAGGATATTTTCCATTTCTGGCTTTGTATCTCAGAGATCACTTAGTTACACTTATAGATGAATAGGAGTTTCAATTCCTTGTTTTAGAAAGAAGCTTGGTAACTGTTAGTGAGTTACAAATAAGCCAAATAGAAGAAGGTACATATTTCTGCAGTATCAGGTAAAGTTTTTCCTCATAAGGATTTAGACTCTTGGATATCATATTAATTCTCAGAAGAGTGGGTATAAAAAGGTATGGGACTTCTTCCTGGGGTGGGTTGGAGGTGGTGAAATACCTTTTTTTTTTTTTTTCTGAGATCATCATAGACAAGATCAAATAATGGTAAACATGCCAATGAATTTTCTAAGCACTATTCCTTTAAGTGAAAGAAGAGTGTTTCAGTAAAATGATTTAATATTGGGTCTTCCAAAAGATGGATTTAAGAGTTTCAACTTTAAAAGACAGAAAAATTAAGTTATTTTACACAATGAATATTGTCGTGCCGTGTGTCACAGACATGACATGAGAGGGAATCAGAGAACATACAGTTAATACAACGCAAACTAGTATCATTACTTTTGCTCAATCACTTCCATTGTCTAAGTAAGATAATTAAAGGACAGCATAAAATAAAATTTCAAAACTTTACTCAATCATATTAAGCTATTTTAATTAAAGTAAATGTTTTAATGCCATTGAATATTCATCACCATTCAAAATTATTGATGTAAATAGTGTTATATGTTAAAGGTAATTTAACTTCCATGGATGAGAATTCAGCTAATGTTTCACTTAACTTTTAGGTAATTTTTTCAATATCCTGGTATTAAACGAAGTCCATGAGTTTGTGGTGAAAGCTGTGCAGCAGTACCCAGAGAATGCAGCATTGCAGATCTCAGCGCTCAGCTGTTTGGCCCTCCTCAGTAAGTAACTTCACTAAAAAGGGGATTCTTACAGAGGCATTTGACATCAAATATGAACATTGTAACAAGAGAATCATATGTACAGATGGAAGCATTCAATGCCTTTTCTGTCCTGTGTAGCTCATTTTCCAGTAGAGGATACTTTCAAGGAAACTAACAGTTGTGACAAATATACACATCTCAATGTAGAGTTTTGCTTTACATCATTCTTGATTTAGCTTTGTCATTAAGCAGCTAATCTGTTTTAAAAAAATTTTTATTTGTGCCTGGGCATGGTGGCTCACGCCTGTAATCTCAGAACTTTGGGAGGCCGAGGCGGGTGGATCACAAGGTCAGGAGTTCGAGACCAGCCTGGCCAACATGGTGAAACCCCATCTCTACTAAAAATATAAAAATTAGTCTGGCATGGTGGCGGGCACCTATAATCCCAGCTGCTCGGGAGGCCGAGGCAGGAGTATCGCTTGGAACTGGAGGGTAGGAGTTGAAGTGAGCTGAGATTGTGCCACTGCACTCCAGCCTGGGCAACAAGAATGAAACTCCATCTCAAAAAAAATAATTTATTTGTGTTTTAAGTTCTGGTGTACACGTGCAGGATGTGCAGGTTTTTCACATAGGTAGACGTGTGCCATGGTGGTTTGCTATACCTATTAACCCATCACCTAGGTATTAAGCCCAGCATGCATTAGCTATTTTTCCTAATGCTCTCCCTTCTCCAGTCCCATCCCCTAACAGGCCCCAGTGTGTATTGTCCCTCTCCCTGTGTTCATGTGTTCTCATTGTTCAGCTCCCATTTATAAGTGAGAACACGCAGTGTGTGGTTTTCTCTTCATGTGTTAGTTATCTGAGGATAATGGTTTCCAGCTCCATCCGTGTCCCTGCAAAGGACATGAGATAATTCCTTTTTATGGCTGCATAGTATTCCATGGTATATATGTACCACATTTTCTTTATCTAGTCTATCATTGATGGGCATTTGGGTTGATTCCATGTCTTTGCTCTTGTGAATAGTGCTGTGATGAACTAATCTTTTCAAATAATCCTCCTCTCGTCTATTAGGTTTTTTTTTTTTTTGGTACCTTCTTCCTCATTTTATTATTTATCTGGATAGGATGGTAGCATTATGAGACGTATAATATATTAAAAATTATCTTTATAATTGACCAAGGCTTCTCCTAAAGCACACCTCATTCTGTTGGTAATATTTCAAAATATGGACTTAGAGTTGGTCAAACTGTTAAGTAGATAATATATATAATGTTTTTATATATTTTTCAATTTTTTTCAAGCTGAGACTATTTTCTTAAATCAAGATTTAGAGGAAAAGAATGAGAATCAAGAGAATGATGATGAGGGGGAAGAAGATAAATTGTTTTGGCTGGAAGCCTGTTACAAAGCATTAACGTGGCATAGAAAGAACAAGCACGTGCAGGTAGGACTCTCATAAATATTAGAGTTATTCAAAATTATGTTTTCCAGTCATTTATATTTTGACAGATTTCTTTTTTCTCCCCTAATCCAGGAGGCCGCATGCTGGGCACTAAATAATCTCCTTATGTACCAAAACAGTTTACATGAGAAGATTGGAGATGAAGATGGCCAGTTAGTAGTTTTGATTTTATATGATAGAAAATTTCAGTTATATTTTAAATCAATACCTATAAAATACCTTAACCGTAACTTTTATTGTTAGAAATATTTTTGATATAGGCATTTAGTTTTAGATGTTGCTGCAAAATAGTAGTAGGTATGTAGTATTTTGATCTCATCACCTTCAGGAGTTAGAAAAGGTAGAATGAGAGTTATTATTGAGAGATTTGGAATCAAGGGTCATTTGGTAATTCATGAATCATGGAGAAAGAATCTTTCTATTTTCTGGCTGATCGTTTTAAAATGCCATATTAATTCATCTTGGGTGATAGAAATTGCAGAGCCATCTGTGATCTTTTCTTCTATGGTGACTAGCCAGCAGGTTGTCAATATCAGAAATTAGATTTGGTTAGAGAGCTTCCTATGATGAGTTCCCAACTGATGTGACAGAGTTGACCTGTCTTCTTTCGAGAGGGTTATTTGAAGCTGTCATCTCTGGATAACTCTTTCAATAGGAGTGCCATTCAAACATCATAAGACCGGCACTCTCTCCCAAAGATACAAGCTGTAGCAAGGAGTTTTGTGCATATCAGGTTTGTTTCATATCCGTGAGCCTTTGTGTTTTATGGCAACTGATTGATTATACTTGTGCTATTTGCAATGGGTATCCTCTGGGTTTTAAATAGTGAATGACTTATTTTGGAAACAAATAGTAGTATTCTATGTCTGAAATCTTGACCGTCTATTTGTTTAATTATCTATTGCTGATAAGAAGGGAATTAATAACACAGATGCTACTTAATTAAATATTTTCATTTTGACAAGAAACAGTAATTCTTTTGAAAACTATGCTAAATTGGCATCTTAATAATCTCATGTTGAGCAAGGCTTTTGGAGATTAGGGTAAGGGAGATTCATGTCGCAGTTTATAAATTTCAGTTCATAGGATACCTATTTTTCAATATCCATAAGATAACTTTAAAATAAATATATTATTAAAACAAAGAAAATATATTTACGTTATACATCTTTAAAACCTACCTTGCTTCTTTACAATTTTCAGTTTTTCCTCTCTTGTTTCCATTCTCTTCTCCTCACTTTACCTTTTTCCTCAGCATCTCTTTACATATCTGCTGAGCTTTTTTATTTCTCTCTGCTGCATATGCTTTTGAAAAAGCATAAAAATACTAATTTGTTAGGATTTAATTAATTCGAGTCTTAAAAAATGAACTATAATTCACTCTTGTAAGTGGAGGTGGCATGAAATATTGTTTATATGCTCTTAATTGTTGTTAGAGATATTTGATAATGGCAAGTGAGAATTTGAGATAGTTATTTAAAAGATTACTACTAACATTTTGTTTGAATTTTTGAAAGTTTCCCAGCTCATAGGGAAGTGATGCTCTCCATGCTGATGCATTCTTCATCAAAGGAAGTTTTCCAGGCATCTGCGAATGCATTGTCAACTCTCTTAGAACAAAATGGTAAGCAGTGGGCCATGTTTTCAAATAAAGGGAAACACATTTTTGTGGTATTTTTAATTATAGAAGCTATATACTGTGAAAAATTTACATAATTTATAAAGCTATATATTGTGAAAGATATCTCTATGTGTAGAGATGTATTGACATATGGATTATGAATATATAGGTAAAAGGATGAAGAATAAAATAAACATTTGTTGTATATTTTTCCGGACTTCTATGTGTAAACTCACACATGACATATACAAAATTTTATGTATTTTGTAGAAATGGGATCATATTATACTCTTTTATAACCAAATTTTATTTATTCTCTTTTTTATGTTGATACATGTGTATTCTCACATTATCATTTTATTTTTAATTTTTTAAATTAATTTTTGTTTTTAGATATGGTCTCACTCTGTCACCTAGGCTGGAGTGCAGTACCATGATCATGGCTCACTACAACCTCAAACTTTTGGACTCAGGTGATGCTCCCACCTCAGCTTCCTGAGTATCTGGGACTACAGGCATGCACTGCCATACCTGGCTAATTTTTTGCAGAGATGGTGTTTTGCCATATTGCCCAGGCTGGTCTCGAATTCCTGGGCTCAAGCAATCCATCTGCCTTGGCCTCCCAAGTGCTGGGATTACAGGCATGAACCACTGTGCCCGGCCCAAATTATAATTTTTAATAGCTTTGTAGTTTTTCAGTGCTTGCCTGTATTCTGTTTTATGAACCAATTTCTTACTGATGAAGTTTTAGTTTGTGTCCAGTGGGATGTTTCTGGAACCCATAGTAAACACCAGTGATCACTTTCCTCCTCTGTTTTCCTTTATACATGGTTCCTATTATTTTCTTGGGAAAATTTCATAGAAATGCAACTGGGTAGAGAGCTATTCACCATTTTAAAATCTGGTAAAATTGTCTATTATAAATTTCCACACTATACTTTTTTAAAAAATCGTTCTTTAATGTAATTCTTATAAATCTTATAGCTTTGTATAATTATGAAGAGAAAAATGGCTTGTATCCCTTTAGAAAGACATGAGTTTTAAGATTATGGTTCAGGCTGCTCAAATTTCTTCCCCCATAAACAGGAATACTGCCAGAAATCCTTAGGTGAAAACTCATCATAAAGGCATTGGGACTTGGCAGCTTTTGCAGGACATTTTTAGAGGGCAAAAAATAGAGAAAAACACTGAAAGTCAGAGACAGAGACCAGTGTAAGCATCAGCTTTTAATAGAGAAACTGGGTAGGGTGGAAAAAAAATAAAGCAACCACCTCATGCATGTTTCTTTATATTATTATTGAAGTCAAATAAAGAGGAAAATCATTTCTTCTTCCTCTTCCTCCTTTTTCATCTCACCTCTCCAATGGCACTTTAATAAAACGCTTGGAGTGGCCAGGGCACTGACAGACAGACAGGGGCTGCTCTCAAGGATAATGAGTCAAAGGGGAAGGAGAGGGAATCGCTGTTCTCGAATCTCTCTTATTCTACTGTGCAGTTAAAGAGGTCTGGACAGGGATTTCACTCCTGAAAATGAGGACTGGACTTTGTGGCTTCTGTTGGGGCACCTTTAGAGTGGAGGTAGACTTTTACTATGTACAGACAACATTGTGTTGGTGACATCATTCATAACCACCTGGAAATCTCCTTTGATATGCAAATCAAACAACCATAACTTTGTGAAATTTCGACTGCTTCCTATTGTGGTGTCTGAGGACTGGTTACATTCAGAGTCCACCCTGATGTCTTTGTTCAGTTTTCTGCTCTTTCTAGTTCCTTACTTCTTTGTTCCTGATCACCTGTCAAGTAAAATGTCCTCAGATCCTTTTGTATTGTCTTTGGAGTTCTGCCTTAATAAAGCATGAAGAACTTGAGTAGCTCGTTCATCAACTTTCTTGGGCAATTTCTCATTGAAAGACACTTGGGTGTCTTTGGGTGTGCAGAGCTGAGCATGGCTTTATGTTTTTAGAAAAAATGGCTACATTGGCAGGCAGAAGAACTGCGTCCTTGGAATCATGGAGGTCCCAAGGTTGCATACATTTTGTGTGACATTTTTCCTATTCAATTAATTAACTAATATTTATTGAGCTCCCAAGTGTGTAGTGTCTGTAGGCACTTGGGATGCATTCATTAAGTAAAAATCCCAGGCTCATGGAGTTTAAACTGTAGTAGGGAAGATAATAAGATTAACTAAAATATGTAATATTTGAGGCAGTTAAGAATAAAAAATGAAGCAAGGAAGGAGAATATGATATGTTAGACATCAGAGGAGATGAAGTTGTGAATAGGCAGCCAGGAAAGAAGGTGACTATTGAGTAAGACCTGCAGGGCGTCGCATATTGTTTTTTGCCTCTGAAAGCAGTTAATTTCCTGTTAAAATGGAGTGGATGAGATCAAGAGTATTACGTAGATAGCTGGTAAATGCGATAGTGTGTAAAATGTTCTATAAAGTCTAACGTGACTTTATGATGAAATTTCTTCTTCTAGGTTTATTGCTTGCAATTTTCAAACCACACATTGGGTTACTGTCTAGGATAGTGATTCTTAAAGTGTGGTTCCTGGACCAGCAGCATTTGCTGGGGGAACTTGATAAACAGTGTAAATTCAAGGACCCCATACAGACCTTCTCAATCACAAACCCTGGAGTTGAGACCCAGCAATCCATGTTTTAACAAGCTCTCCAGGTGATTCTGATGCACACTAAAGTTTGAGAACCACTAACCCAGTGTCATTTTTGTCTTTTAAAGTGTCTTCTTGGCTAGAAGCTAGCCACTTTGGGAAAGGTTATTACAACTTCTGATGTGATCAAGCAAAGTAACCAACTCTTTATTGTATCTTAATATGTGATATTCTGAATGTGTTTAAAAGGTATGAGTTTTTCAGGCTCTGGCAGTATTTTAGAATGTGTATGTGATTTCTATTTATTTCCATGTTTTGTCCTATCTTCTTAAGATAGACTACTTATTTTAAAAGCAGTACTTAAGTTAAAACTTTTTATGTTTCTTTTTCTGCCACTTTCAAAGTGTTGAATCACAGTGTGTAATGTTGGAACTGATATTTTTATAGCGGCTTCAAGACAATTGATATTTATGTGGAAACTTGAAGACAGTAGGTTTATGTTTAGTGAAGGAAGTTTATTACAAAGAGGAAAATTGGCCAGTTGTGGTGGCTCACGCCTGTAATCCCAGCACTTTGGGAGGCCAAGGCAGGAGGATTGCTTGAGCTCAGGAGTTCAAGACCAGGCTGGGCAACATAGTGAGATCCCCTCTCTACAAAATATTAACAAAAATTAGCCAGGCATGGTGGCACACTTGTAGTCCCTGGTACTTGGAGGCTGAGACAGGAGGATCACTTGAGGCCAGGAGGTTAAGACTGCAGTGAGCTATGATCATGCTACTGCACTCCAGCCTTGGCAACAGAGAGAGATGCTGTCACAAAAAGAAACACCAACAAAAAAAGAGGAAAATTATTCCTTAATCATTATTGCTGGAATATAGTTACTTTCCACAAATAGTGAAGTGCCAGTTGTAAAGCATATCTATATGTTTCCTAGACTTTGGCATTACTTTGTGAAAATAACTGTAATTACTTATGTTCTATGTAAATGCTTTCCATTCATTTGTATATGATGGCATATATAGAAATTATAATGTTTGTAAAGTCCACTGGGATAAATGGACAAAGCAGCTGAAGGCTGAAAGCAACCAAGCCTTTTACAGCCCCTTCATTCCCCACACTCCCAAAAAGCTGAGTGAATGGTCGATACCTCCACATGCTTATAACTCATTCCCAGCCCACCAGTGTCTAGCATATCTGGTTAGTCTTAGCTTTATATAAGTGCAGTTATTTGTGAACTTGTTTTAAGTATTGGAATACAATTTAACTTTCATTCTTATTTTGGAGACCATTATTTAAACAGATTTCTTTTTTCCTGCAAAAACACTCTTTTCACAATGGACAGAGACACGGTGATTACATTAAAACCATCTACTCTATGAATAAAAATGTTAAAACCAAAATCCCAACAAAGGGTTAATAAAGGCAAAAAAAATTGGAAATGACATGTGTTTTAAAGAAATAAACATGAATTATCTTTAAGCTGTCAATGAACTATAAATTATGTGTGCTCTTGTATATGCTTTCCTGTAAATTTGGACTATATTAATATTCTAAAGCTTATGGTAAAATTATGAAAATATGCTTTCATATCTATAAGTAACATTTTAAAAAATCTCAGTTAATTTCAGAAAAATACTGTTATCAAAAGGAATACACCTGAATGTTTTGGAGTTAATGCAGAAGCATATACATTCTCCTGAAGTGGCTGAAAGTGGCTGTAAAATGCTAAATCATCTTTTTGAAGGAAGGTAATATAGATTCATTAACTTGTACAGAATATATCATATTGGGCCAGGTAGAATATCAATATTTCAAGCATATTTCTAACAATGAAAAGAAAAAGAAAAACATAAGACACTTGAAAACTGAAGCATTTTGCAATGTAATCTCGTGTCACTAGTACCATAGACTTACTTTATCTGAACACTGAAAGGAATGGCAAGATTGTGGAAACATGTTGAAGGTTTGCTTTTGAACCTGATGCTTGATGTTGACTATATTTTGAAAAGTGGTAATTGTATAGCACATAGCATACAGCAGTTTTTCTAATTATTGTGTGTGTGAAAGTTATAAAAGATAAAATCAGTTTATGGCTAAATTTTGCTCTTTCACAACGAATATATTATTCCTTCATCTGAATGAACTTTGTCTTCTCTTCCTGCTCTCAATCCTTAGTTAGGGAAAATTTTAACTACATCTAGTCCAAGTGCAGAGATGCTAAGATTATATAGCTGGCGGTTAGTGGCACAACAGAGACCATATCCTTTGATCTATGTGTGGATGGTGGTGGGGCAGGGTGGGATGAGGTGGGGGTGAGGGGTGGTAGGTGTGGGCAGAACTCTCATGTGTAAAAAAAATAATTGGCACAGAAGTTGCAGTGAAAACTAATTTTGTTCCTGGTTTTGCCACTAATTTGAGCCAACTGTTTCATCTCTAAAACTTCACGTTCCTCATTGATAAAGAGGAATGATAATAACAACTTTGAAAGTTGTAAGCTTAGAATGTAAGGATTAAATAAATTAATTTTTACAAAGGGATTAGGATAATGCCTGCTGCATTTTAAGCACTCAACAAATTGTGTCTATTGTTGTTATACTGTTACTAAGTGTGAATAAATGAAGTGCATATAGCATGAAATGTAGCGTAACTGCAGACTTGTAAGAAGTAGGGTTACACTGTTTTTAACATCAGTCTAACTAATCTATGTTTATATATCTTTCTAAGCTGTATTTCTCTTATTTAAGTGTTGTTTTTGAACACTGAGATGAAAAGTTTATCTTAAATGTTGATTTTAATGGGGCCGGAAGTGTGCAAACCTTTACAAATGAGGCAAAAACACAGCGGAATAAACTCCAGTCTAGGATTCTGTAGATTCTGGGCAAGGCATTTAATGTTTCTCGCTGCATGCTCTTACGTAAAATGTGTACAGTTGCAGCCCTGGAGATTCCGCATTGGCTCTGACAGTGTGTCTGCCCCTACAGAACTCATGTGAGTCGAGAGACTGATAAGTAAACAGATTATTATAATACAGTCTCAGAATGCAGTGGCAGTAGTGTGTAAAAGACGCAATGGTAAGAGTAGAGTGGACTCAGCTGGGGTTACCCAAGGAGGGGAGGCTCCAATGGAGGGATGTGTTTAAACTGGGACTTTAAGTTGGAAAAGAAGGAATGTATCTCAGTGTCCACAGAACCATGCAAAGTGAGAACATGGTTCTGATATGCACAAGTTTCAGTTAACAAGCAAAGCAAGGATTGACTGTATTAAAGTTCATAGTACCTACTGCATTCTAGTCAAGTGACATTTGCTCATATGTAAAAGAAAGAATAGCTTAAATACCTGAGAGAAACCAAGACTGTAAAACAAATTAAAAATAATTAAAAATACCTTATAAGAAGTCCAGTGATGTTAATCTGGAAGAGGAAGGTTCGTGTGATGTAAAGAGGCCTTGTCTTGGGGTCAGACAAGTTTGGGTACCAGCCTTGTCTCTGTCACTTTCTAGTGATAAGACCTGAATATTTAACCTCTATCTGTCTAAGTTCTTCATGTAGAAAATGGGGATAATAACACCTACCTGCTGGGATTGTTGTTATTGACCCATCGTAGGTCAGAAGGATGTTGTTAGTTTTATGAAGTGAAATAATTCCCGGATTACTATGAATTCTATCTTATGAGTTCAAAGTTTAGACAATTAAAATTATGTATGCTCATACTACTGATTTCAAATGCATTTTCATATAGTCTTTCCTGATAAAATATATTGGTTCTGCCCTCCTGTACTTATTTCAATTTGGTGTTTATACCATTGAATCAGATCAGTCTTTCAATAAGCATGCCAATTTTATATCCCCAGCAACACTTCCCTGGATATAATGGCAGCAGTGGTCCCCAAAATACTAACAGTTATGAAACGTCATGAGACATCATTACCAGTGCAGCTGGAGGCGCTTCGAGCTATTTTACATTTTATAGTGCCTGGTAAGTTACATAGTTGATTGTGGGAAGAGATAACAATTTAAATGGATTTTTGATTTTTCATGAAATAGCAATATTCTAGGCAAATATTAAAAGACTAGTTTCTGTCGACTAAATGTAAATCTTTCTGTTAAACCAAAAAGAGGTTAAATATGATGCAGAAGAGTCACTTAGATTAATTTTTATAAGAAAGCAATATGAATTCAGTAATTTATTTATACAAAGTAACTACAATGTAAAATGTGGAGCTTTTATTTTTAAGGAGGGTGTTCATCTCTGATAATTCTTTTCTATTTTTGTTGCCATGACCTGAGTTCAAGCTTTTTTTCTCTTGTTTGAATTGTACTATTAGCTAATTTTCATACCTGTTCTCTTCCTTCATTTCTATCCTTTTCTTACTCTATGATTGAATTAATCTTTCTCCAATGTGGCTTGTACTCATTTACCTCAATGGCTTCCACCCTCCACCCACCTTTAATTGTTACTGACATCTGTTATCACCTTATTTGTTCTCCAAAGCCCCTTTAAAACACCTATGTCTGTATTCATCCAACACATTTATTAAGTGCTTCTTATGTTCTAAGCACTGTGATGCTGTTAAACTTTAAAAGATGAATTGGAAAAAAAGCACAACTGTACTATTATAGGAGCTTAGAGGTAGATGGAAGTGTAAATAGATAATTAACAGGCAGCGTGAGAGAGGCGATGATAGATGCATATATAAAAGGCTTTGAGAATATCGATGGAGGCACAAATAATTTCTTCAAAGGAGTAGGACAGAGATTGTAATATTTGAGGTGGAAGGGTAGATAGAGCTGGCCTGGTAGAAAGGCCAAGGAAGACATTTCAAGCAGAAGAAAGTGCACATGGTCGGGGGTGAGTGAGGCATGGAGGATAAGGAGAGGAGTGCTTGGGGATGAGTGTGGAAGGAAAGGCTGAGGCCCAAAGAAAAGGGCCTTGAATGCAGTGCTAAAAATTTTTTGCCTTTTAAAAATGGAAGCCAACCCAAGTTTATTAAAATTGTTTGCAGATTGTAGTGTCACACCGAAATTTGCAACTAAAGACAATAGCATTGTGGTGCAGAGGATGATAGACAGGGAGAGAGACTAGATACAAGGAGATTGGGTTGGAGGTCCATGGTAGTCAAGTGAGACCCAGTGAAGGGACCCAGCAATGGAAACACAGATGAGAGGGCAGATTGGACAGATGGTTGGGAGATCTGTTTGATGTGACATCGTGATCCCTAAGTATGAGGGATGATACTTTGTTCTGTGAAGTTCCCAATCTTTTGAAGTCATTTTTGCTTTGTTCTTTTAAAATGAAATCTTCCTAAATCTATCATTTTCTCTAGTTATATAGGTATTTTGTTTCTCTGTATAAGAGTATTACTCAATATAAAAGTTTTTTCAAGGACAGAGCTTTCTTCAGTCATTTTTTTCTGGGCCCCCCAGTCCTCTGGTGGCTATTCAATCAGTATTTTAAAAATTGAATCATGGTGTCCTATTCATAGTTTCAGCTTAGTTTTGAGACGTAATGTAACAGATGTAATTTTACTTGAAAATATTATTGCATGTTTTATTGAATTTTATTTTTAGATTGTAATTAAAAACAATAAAAATGCCTTTTGATTATCCTTAAAGTTGACAGCCTTATTCTTTTGAGGGAGGTTTTGGGTTTTAAAGATAACCAAAGGACACTCAAAAACCGTTTCTGTTAGTTAATAAAATAATACTCTTTTAGTCCAAAAGCAAGTTTTGAATACAGTATTTCTTTTCTTTTATTGTTCTTAAACTGATCCTGAAGGAAAATTGTTAGTTAACAATCAATCAGATGTATTATGGGTGCCCTTGAAAATAATCACTTGAGGACTGTACTTAATGTAAAAAAATACATTTTATAAGCATATCAGTATGTAAGTACATTCTTCTAGTAGGTAAAGGCTTAATCATTTACTGTATGCTAACATATTATACTACCACAGTACACCATACTGTACTGTACCCAACGTAATGTACCATGCCGTGCAGTACCGTATCATTCTAGGTATCAACAAGTAACTATGGTAGCAATACTCCAGTAGTTTTGAGGTTGAATATGATTCTGGTTTGAACATGTTAAGTTGAGGTTCTTATGAGATACCTAGGTGTACATGTATTCATTTATTAGCTAGATTATATTCAGGTTTTTTAGTGGCAAAGATGTACATTATGGCAAATGTGTATAATTTAGGGTCCAATTAAGGATAGCATATTGCATCTAGTGCATATATCTTAAGTTTCTTTCAATCTATTACTGTACTTTTTCTCTTCTACTTTATAATAACTTGTTATATAGACATTGAGCTGGTTGCTTTAAGAAAATAATAATGAAGACCCAGTTACTTTAATAAAATATCATTTGACTTGTTTCTTGAGTTACTGCTAGTTTTAGAGGAAATAATGTGAAATTCTTTAAGAAGGGATATAGGCAAATTGGGAAGTATATAGAGGAGAGTGATTAGGGAGATAAAAGCACATCAAAAAGAGCAATAAGAGGAACTGAGATTGTTTTATTTGAAGAAGAGATGACTCAAAGGGATATGAAACTCTATTCAAATCTACTTACTTATAACCAGTAACAGTAATAATACCAAACAATATGGAGGACTTAAAAAGTATTAGGCATTGTTTGAAGTATTTTAAGTATATTATCTCTTCTGATTCTAACAGCACTCCATGAGGCAGATATTATTATTATTATTATTTTGGTATTGTATGGACTACAAAACTGAGGCATAGAATTGTAGAGATTTTTAAGGTCAGGCCTGATATAACAGCACCAGATTTTCAGCTTATGCAGGCTGACTCCAGAGTAGGCATTTTAAAATAAATATTTGTGCAACAATCTTGTCCTGAACAACTGTTGTATTTAAAGCACTATGTCTAGAATCCTTAAGGTATCGGGAGATGATGAGATTATGGATACTGCTCTCAAAAAAATTTACAGTCCACACGACCTAAAGGACTGTTATGTAGAAAGGAAATTATATCCATTTGAATAGTAGGACCTCAAGTGATAGAACAAAGACTGGAGAAGAAATTTACAGGAATGTTCATTTGGTCTTAATTTAAGGAAGATGTTAAATAAGACCCATTACATGTAGCATGATGTTTTTACTACTCAGGCCAGTTTTAGTGGTCACATCTTCTTAAGGTGTAATAGGCAGCCTCAGAAGTTACTGTGGTCTTGCTCACTGGAAATGATACACAGACAGTTTAAGGGACTTGCCCCAGACCACACGGCAAGAGGTGAATGTCAGAACCTCTTTGAGTACATTTTAAAATAAGGACTGAAAGTTGGAGGAGGGTGGTTATCAAGGCTGCCTTCCTTACCATAGTATTCCCAGCATTAACAAAATCCTTGGCATGTAATTGGAATTCAGATGCTTCTTAAATAAATGAAAAGCCTGTTGTAGCCAGCTTACAGTTTGCATTAATGCAGATTATTAAAGTGGAAGATCATAAATGATTTTTTATTAATATTTATGTCTATAATCTTAGGTTTGGAAAACATTATTCATTCATAATAATTTTAATTATATGTTACATTACCACATTTTTGACTTGTAGTGTTTTTAGCATAGTTCAGCTACAGTGTAGCTTAATAAAGAATATGATTTTTTAAAATAGCAATGCTATTATATAGCCTTTACAGAACTTCTAAAAAATGACATGTTCTCTACCACCTTAATACTGAAACTCAAATCTTATTTTTTGCTACGATTATTCCAGCTACTCTTTTTTGTCTATATTTCATTTCTGCCTTTTTATGTTGTGGTCCAAGTAACTCTGAGCTTTTCTCATGTTGTCCATTGTTGCATAAAAATCTTCCAGCATCTTAAAGCACAGCCTACTCACACAAAAAAGTGATTGTTTGCTACAGAAAATTTCTTCACCATCGTAATTTTTTGCTACTTCAAATTCAGTAAGCATTCTTACACATTATATTTATTTTATATTCAGTGATGAACTATTTTTATAGATTCCTTAAAATTTCTGGTTATTTATTTGATAAGGAAACATGTACTAGAAAAAAGTACAACACATATATTGTGAGATTAATTATGACAATTTCTAGAAAGTAACAGTCTGTTCAACTCAAATGTTTATAAGAAAATTCTTTCTTTATTTATTTATCTGTGCATTTAGGCATGCCAGAAGAATCCAGGGAGGATACAGAATTTCATCATAAGCTAAATATGGTTAAAAAACAGTGTTTCAAGAATGATATTCACAAACTGGTCCTAGCAGCTTTGAACAGGGTATGTTGAATATAAGTTTTCTGTATTTATACTATTAACTAAAATATTAAATTTGGAGAACTAGGGGCGCTTTTTCAGTCTAAGTTTTCTGTTCTCCGTTTGCTATGATAGGAGGAAGTCATGTGGTTAGAGACATAAGATGACAGTGGGGATGTGGGAAGTGAAAAGATATGTACTAAGCTAAGTCCAGCTAAGTGTATTATCAATTATAGATGTAGGCAAGATTCTTTTGATTGCCAGTAACATAAATCCACTCTAGTTTGCTCAACCAGAAAGAGAACCAAAGAGCCATATATGCAGCTAGACCTTGTGAGTCATGCTGGGTACTATGGCTGCTGTTTTCTCTTTCTGTCCTCTGGCTACTTGTCTTTCTTTTCTGGTCTCATAGTATATGGTTTAGCCCATGAAGACATACCAGTGTTAACAGTAAAGTCTTCGGCTGGGCACAGTGGCCCACACCTGTAATCCCAGCACTTTGGGAGGCTGAGGTGGGTGGATCACGAGGTCAGGAGTTCGAGAGCAACCTGGCCAACATGGTGAAACCCTGTCTCTACTAAAAATACAAAAATTAACTGGGCATGGTGGCACGTGCCTGTAATCCCAGCTACTCAGGAGGCTGAGGCAGGAGAATCGCTTGAACCCAGGAGGCAGAGGTTGCAGTGAGCTGAGATCACACCACTGCACTCCAGCTTGGGCGACAAGAGTGAGACTTCGTCTCAAAACAAAAACAAAAACAGACAAACAAAAACAGTAAAGTCTTCTTTGATTCCCTACGCTCCTTTTCATTGTTCTCCGGAGAAATAACCTCTGAAATGATTTGGTATACATTGTTTCCATTTTTTAGCATTTACATATCCATGTTCCTACATTATAATTAAAGTATCCATAAATCATACTGAGTATGAAAAAGAGAAGAAGGGAATTACATTTAAATTGTGTAATGCAAAAAGTATTGGTGGAATTAAGAAGTTTTGGAAATTTTGCATAAGATGAATTGGTTCTTTATTAAAGATGTTAAGAATAAAGACATAATTAGTGTGAACATTTTTATAAAAGGAGGAGCCTATTTAAAATAATTAATGGAAATGATTCCATGTGATTTGATATACTTTGATGAATGTCATAAATTAATTAAAGTGGCTTCCAGAGAGATCTCCCTTAAAAATTCATTTTAAATTGAACTTTATACTGTCACTCACTGCCTATAATATGTTTGAGTCATTTATACTCAAACTTTAATACAATCCTTGAGTATGGCAAGAATTTATGTTGTAATGGGTTAAATTTATCTTGAGAAATATTTGTTGAAAATAAGTATATGGAAGGAAGGGGTTAGGCATTTAGAAGATAAATAAATATGCTTTGTACTCTTCTCTCCTGAATCTCATAAGCCGGTTGTTGATGGCTGTTGTGAAACCTTGGTTCTTTTCTTTAAACAAGAGACACACAGCAGAGGAGATGCAGCATCGAGTAATTTATTGCAAAAGAAAAAGAATATTTTGCAAGTTAAGTGAGGAATAGACACTTATACCCTGACAGAATTCAGGGTGGGCTTACTAGTAAGGATGAGACAGCGTAAATTGGCACTAGGAAGACTCCCTTTGTGGGAGTTGTACATGATTTTTCATAAGTGGGTGGGAAGAAGTGTTACTAGTAAGCATATTCTAGGTTGTCCTCTGAGTGAACATGTGCAGTAGCTGTACATGCTTGTTCATATATCGCATGTCTCATAAGTATCTGAAATCTCCACCCAGGGGTGTGTGTTTTACTATTATAATGAGCAAAGGGTCAGTCTGAGGACAAGGAAAATCAAAATGTGCATGCTCCCCACGCTACCTGACTTCAAACTATACTACAAAGCTACAGTAACCAAAACAGCATGGTACTGGTACCAAAAAAGAGATATAGGCCAATGGAACAGAACAGAGCCCTCAGAAATAATGCCGCATATCTACAACCATCTGATCTTTGACAAACCTGACAAAAACAAGAAATGGGGAAACGATTCCCTATTTAATAAATGGTGCTGGGAAAACTGGCTAGCCATATGTAGAAAGCTGAAACTGGATCCCTTCCTTACACCTTATACAAAAATAAATTCAAGATGGTTTAAAGACTTAAATGTTAGACCTAAAACCATAAAAACCCTAGAAGAAAACCTAAGCAATACTATTCAGGACATAGGCATAGGCAAGGCCTTCATGTCTAAAACACCAAAAGCAGTGGCAACAAAAGCCAAAATTGACAAATGGGATCTAATTAAACTAAAGAGCTTCTGCACAGCAAAAGAAACTACCATCAGAGTGAACAGGCAACCTACAGAATGGGAGAAAATTTTTGCAATCTACTCATCTGACAAAGGGCTAATATCTAGAATCTACAATGAACTCCAACAAATTTACAAGAAAGAAAAAACAACCCCATCAAAAAGTGGGCAAAGGATATGAGCAGACACTTCTCAAAAGAAGACATTTATGCAGCCAACAGGCACATGAAAAAATCCTCATCATCATTGGCCATCAGAGAAATGCAAATCAAAACCACAATGATATACCATCTCACACCAGTTAGAATGGCGATCATTAAAAAGTCAGGAAACAACAGATGCTGGAGAGGATGTGGAGAAATAGGAACACTTTTACACTGTTGGTGGGACTGTAAACTAGTTCAACCATTGTGGAAGACAGTGTGGCGATTCCTCAGGGATCTAGAACTAGAAATACCATTTGACCCAGCCATCCTGTTAGTGGGTATATACCCAAAGGATTATAAATCATGCTGCTATAAAGACACTTGCACACCTATGTTTATTGTGGCACTATTCACAATAGCAAAGACTTGGAACCAACCCAAATGTCCAACAATGATAGACTGGATTAAGAAAATGTGGCACATATACACCATGGAATACTAAGCAGCCATAAAAAATGATGAGTTCATGTCCTTTGTAGGGACATGGATGGTACTCAGCAAAGTATGCCAAGGACAAAAAACCAAACACCATATGTTCTCACTCATAAGTGGGAATTGAACAATGAGAACACATGGACACAGGAAGGGGAACATCACACTCTGGGGCCTGTTGTGGGGTGGGGGGAGGGGGGATAGCATTTGGAGATATACCTAATGTTAAATGACAAGTTACTGGGTGTAGCACACCAACATGGCACATGTATACATATGTAACTAACCTGCACGTTGTGCACATCTACCCTAAAACTTAAAGTATAATTAAAAAAAAATGTGCATGCTCCATACAGGGGCAATTCCCTACTGGAGATAGCTTTGCTTAAATGAGCTGGACTACAATGCAAATGCTGAAACTTACTATATTGACAGTAAGATTGCCACAGTTGCCGCGTCCTGAGGACATGGTTACTTCCTTTTAATACCTATCCTGTCTCATTGTGAGAGGATTAACAACTGTGCATAAAACCAGTTGTTCTACATGAGCACTTAGGAGGGATACCAGCATTGTGAACATAGTTTAAGTACGTAGAGGAGGGAACAGTTAAGTTTATTCATGGTGAGTGTTGGTGAAAAGTGGAAGAGGTACCAAAACAGCCGTATAGATAACTGGTTCCAGTTAGCCAACATTCTCTAAAGTTATTAGAGAAGCCTAAGTGAGGTGTAACCTCAGCAGTCGGGAGCCAAGAGAGCAAGTAAGTGCTGTGATGTGGAGAAAATCACTTTGTTCCAACTGAGAAGAAATGGTTGAGCACTGCTTTTCCCCCATGCCAGTACTGACGCACAGCCTTTCACTTAGCACTGATTATCGATAGGGGTGGGGAGTTAAGGTATGGGGAAACACAAGTAACAATATTTTATTTCAAAAACCTCTCCACTGTAATTCCCCTAATCCTTCATCATGGTTGAGGAAAATGGCTCTAAAAAATGAGAGCAATTACTGTAGCTCCAAAATTCTGTGATTGCATGTCTTACTCTGAATAGCAATTACAAAGCATCAGAGGATTTAGGTCCAAATATTGCAGACACAAGAAAATGAATTACATTTTAATACATCTAAACTTGGAGAGCAGAGTTCCAAATAAGGTAGAACTTGAGATTCAACTCTGATTTATAAAGCAGAGACTAAGAAGAGTATTTATAAAGCGAATCCATGTTTGGATACATAAAAGTGCAATAAAATTCAAGCTGAAGTTAAAATCTCTGTCTAGAACAGCGATGTTCCATTTATGCCTGATCCTTTTAGCTTTTCCACAGATGAAGACTTTGTCACCTGTTCCAGAGAGATATATTTGTTCATTATTGTTTCCAGAGAGCAAAATGGAAAATAAACTCTGCACATTTTGGCCGCATCTGTGTTTTATATGCGGTGACACTCCTGTTCTCTTCAGTGAGGAAATCCAGTAAAGTAAAACCAGTCTTCTGATGAAATGGGCACAAATCAAAGAACTTGTGAGCTTCACAAAAACCTTGAAGCAAAATATACCAAGCTTAAATATTGAATGTATTGATTTCAGTAGTCAAAAACAGAGCTCATCTGCAAAAGCAACAACAACAATGACAACAACAAATTACATATAAGTAAAATTTAAAAAAGGTTTACAGGATGAATATACAGAAAACTATGAAGCTTAGGGGTAGAGAGGAGTAGTTGAATATATGAAAAGATACATCTTTTTTGATGAAGGACTAAATTTTTAAAAATGAAAATTGATCTATGTTTATGAACCATTAGTAAAAATAACAATAGTATTTTCTGGAACTAAGTAAGCTAGTGTAAAATTTGTATGAAAAAATTAATACATATGAGTAATCAGGAGAATTTTAAAAAAGAGTGTTGATTCATATGGCCTAACTCCAAAAGATAATCAAATGTATTATACAATTTTAGTAATTATAATGGTGTGATACTGGCACTAGGGGAGAGAGATCAGTGCCACAGAAGGGTGGCTCAGGAAATAGACTCAAATAAAAATTTGTAATGTTATGATATTCCTCGACTGCGGGAGGAAAATAGATTACTCAGTTACTTGTGTTGGAACAACTAACTCTTCAGCCATTTGGGAAAAGCAAAGAAAGCTGAATATTTATCTTACTCCTTTTGCCAAAACAAATTACAGATGGATGAGATTTAAAGTCTATAATGAAATTGGTATATGTACATATTAAAAGTTTCAACTATAATTGTTATTAACGTAAATGACAACGGAACACCTTGTTGGAGGGAAATTTGGTAATATCTATCAAAATTAAAATGCCATGTTTTCTGATCAGCAATTTCATTCTAAGAATTTTTAATGTAGATATACTTGCTCATGTACATAAAGATTATTAGACATGAATGTTCACTGTGGCATGATTCGTAATTAAAAATGTGGCAACAAACTAAATGCTTACATGGTAATCATTCATGCTGTTTGCCAGATATTTTTATTTCTCCACCTTGTGGTGATTCTGGCATAGTATTTAGTAGTTAGGTTGAAGCATGTGACTAATTTTGGTCAGGGAGTTGTAAATGGAGGGAATAGCTGGTGAGACATCTTGCGGAATACTGTCTCAGGTACCATCGTACCTGCAGTGTTTGAGATAGTAGTTGCTCCATCAGTAGAGGTCCCTGAGGGACTACAACAAGCAGAGTCCCCTCCTGACCTGCAACACATATGTAGCATGAGCAATAATGGAACTTATTATTTTTGCACCCTATAAAATTTTGAGAATTGTTACTGCAGCTTAATTTAATCTTTCCTGACAATACAATACCTATCAATAGAGACTAATCAGATAAATTATACCATTTCCAAATTGTATCATCCTGCATAAATATTAAAAAACAATGAGGTGAGATTCCTAATGTGCTGCTATGGAAAAATCTTCAATTTTCTATGTGTACGAATGTATTTCCCAGGTATTCGTTTTTTCCTTCCTGTATGTTGACACATTATGCACACTTTTGGATGAAATTAATATATTTCCACCGCTTTATGTCCTCTCCCTCACTTTTATCACCCAATTGTAGCAAAGTATATGTTTGCTTTTATAGCTTTAGCTATATAAAATTTTCTAATAGCTAAGTTTGTGGTTCCTGGAATTAAGATATCTGAATTTAAATCTAACACTACTACCTACAGACTATGCACCCTGGACAAGTACTTAATGTCTTGGTTTTGTTATGTATAAAATGGAGATAATAACTGATTTTTCACTTAGAGTTGTTGAATATTTTATAAGATAATTCATGAAAAAGTGTCAGTATAATGCTTGGCACATAGTATGCGCTCAATAAATGTTAATGTTATTACTATTAGATTTAAAAGTATCTTTTGACCCCTGGCTATAGAAGATGAGGAAATCAGAGTATTTGCACTTCTAATATCTCCTGTTTTCCCACCTACTTTTGTTCAATAAATTAACTCCACATTGGCAGGGTAGATAATATTTATATTCAGCTTTCTAATTATGCTTTCTAAGTTTGTGTTTATCTTACTCCTACCGTTATTTGGAAGCAGTCTTCATCTCAAGTCCTTTTGTTACTGTTTTTTCACTCATCTTTTAGTTGTCTGAATTTCTTTAGAAAAGTTTAATTCCCTGAATATTTAATGTTTATATTTTGTTGTTGTTTTTGCCTTTATATTTGGACTCCTAAAAAAAGTTTTGTTGGTTGTAAAATATTGTTTTTTTTTCCTTGAAGTGTTTGTAGGCATTTCACTGTGTTCTAGTACTGAATGTTTTAGTGGAGAAGTCTGAGGCCAGCTTCATTTGTTTCTTGGATATTTTTGCCCAGTGCTGAAAGGATTTTTTCTCTTGAAATCCATCCACTTTATTAGGGTATATCTCAATGTTAGTCCTGGGATATGGTATCCTCATTCTAGCTATACATTCAACTTTTTTCCTGGAAAGTTTTCTTGAGTTGCATCTTTATATACATATACATACACGAATACATATACATGGTAAAGATATTAAGGATAAAGATAGGTGCTTTATAAATACCAATTTGATATAATTTTGGCATGAAAAAAAGCCTGTGGTGCATTCTGAGTTTGGAAGTAGAACTGGATATACTTACTTATTACTATTGTTTTTAATACAAAAATGGAGACAGGGTCTCACTATGTTGCCCAGGCTGGTCTCAAACTCCTTGACTCAAGCAATCCTGCCTCGACCTCCCAAAGTGCTGAGATTACAAATGTGAGCCACCGTGACCAGCCTAAATATCTAAATTTTTCTCTTTCATTATTTTAGCTCTCTTCTTTGGGGCTATCAGTCATATGATGTTGGATCTCTTTTGCCTTAATCTTCTAATTTTTCAAAGACTAATCCAGAGACCACTATCTATCACCATGCCATTACTCATAGACAAGGGACATCATTCCACACATTTAGCTTATTTGTCAAAATCAGAGATGGGATTTATAAAAGAAAAAGAATAAAGGGAGAAAACAAAACACAAATTATCTGGGAATGCGAGTCTGTTTTCCTTTCTTTGGCTAATCTACTTACCTAGTAGCTAGGAAAGAGGCCAGCATGAGTATTTTTCCATTGAGCTGGCTAGCTCAGTCATTGGAGAAACCATTTCAATATTTATGGATTCTCTGAAAAAAACTTGGAGAGTAAAAAAGCATAGGTGGTAGGATGCTGCCATCCTTCTGTTGGCATCTCCAGAGTTTCACTTGAAAAACACCTCCTAAGTAGACACTGATAAATTGATTTTAATCCCTATTTGAGCACCAATGCAATACATTACTATTTCAAGATGGAGCATTAGATAACTAAAGGAAATTCTATTGTGGGCTTGTAAATATCATGATAGTCATACCTATGTAATACATATATGTATATATAAATATTAATTTTTAAACATTTACTTAGCTATTAAAAATCAAATGCTCATATTTAAAATTATTGGTTTATTAATGCACCATCACATGTTATCATGTGATACTCTGAATTCTCTTTTTGCATAGACAAATCAGAGATTACCTGCTGCAAGTCATTAGTCATCATTAACCTGTACTGAAATGGTTAGAGCCTAGGGGAGTTCCAGGTAAAAGGACCAGTAATGAGTAGAAGCTTGTTAGATGTAGAGATATTGAGGACAGAGATAGGTGCTTTATAAATATCAATTTGATATAATTTTAGCATAAAAATAAGCCTATGATGCTCTTTGAGCTTGGGAGTAGAAGTGGATATGTAATTTTCAGGGCGTAGTATAAAATGGAAATGCACACTCCTTGTTTGAAAATTATTAACGATTTTACAAGGGTGACAACAGAGCATTGAAGCAAGTGCTCTGTGAGCATGAAGCCCTGTGTGAAATACACACCTGTGAAGCTGGCCTTGCCTGCCAAACAGGAATGCTGGTACTGTTAATCAAACAGAAAGTTCAGAATGACAATCTGACTTTTTTTTGTAGAAGATACTAAACTTTTGGCCTTGAATATCTGAATTTAAGATACTGGTATCAAGCCAAAAGAAATTTGGGCTTAGAACTTGAAAGATTTAAACTTGTGCTTTGACTTGTGTGCTCACAGCTCTCTGTGTCACAATTTTTTTCATCTGTACTTCGGGACAACAATAGTGTGTCGACATCACAAAGGTTTTGGGAGGATTAAGTAGGTGAATACATATGAAGTTCTTAAAAGAATGTCTGGCACTGAGTGAGTGCTACCTCGGTTTTGGCATCGTTATTGTGGTCATTGCTATTGTTATTATGACTTGAAGTCATATTAGTGTATGAAATCCCATCCATGAATAGAAGACAGAAAGAACTTTGGGCAGGGTTTGGAGGTAAAAGAAGACATTGTAAAGGAGATGGGTAAAGGAATGATTTTAAAGACTGAGAATAATTAGGGGAGTACGATGTCATGGAAATTAAGGGATGATAAGCACCAATTAAGTTGTTATTGGACTTTTTTCTTTGAATGGTTCAAATTCAGAATAATAAGGAAAGAAGTCTGATTATACGAAATTAAAGGGTAGGGTGACTGTGGAGGTAGTGGGAGTTGACTTTTCTGCTAATAAGTTTAGAAATAAAGGAAAAATGGTAGCTTGAGGAAAGAGAGGAGCGATTAAGGGAAAGTCTCTCGTTAACTCTTGTTTTTCATCTCTGAGGACAGCGCTTAGCCCAAGGCCTGACCTGTGATCATTACTCTCTCAAGGTTTATTCCATGGACAGAGCTATCTCATTTCATGCTTATAACAACCCTACATTATTAGAATTGTTTTAGAGATGAGGAAGCTGAGACACACACCAAACCAGCCTTCCAATTTCACTTTGCACAACTTTGAATTTCTTTATATTTCTTGAATAAAAGTTCCACTTTTTAACTTACCACTTCTTAGCAGTCATTGTCTAACTGAGTAATTGTTACTTCATTCATTTAATGGTTCTCAGATTCGCATAATTTGAACCTAAATTTAATTGGCCTCCAAGCTGATGTGCTTACAGAAACAGTGACAGGAAACAAAAATGTCAAGGGAGACTATGTATTATTAAGATGATAAATGAAATGATGTCCAAGCTGAGCAATTAAAGTGTGAAGTAGAAGGACACAGGGTGAGAAACTGATGCTTCTCCTCAGCCTCTATAAAAAAGATACTGAATAAAGATAATTGAGAGGCATTAGGGGACTAGACTGAGAAAGGATTGGAAATCTGTTCACTGAGAGTACAGAAATGAGGAAGCTTGGAAGGCAGAAGATTTTGGTCAAAGACGTCTGGCTTGAAGCTATTTCAGCTCTTTGGATTATCTGTGGTGGAGGCCATCACGTCTTTGGAGTGGAGGTACCATGAAACTAGTGTCTGCAAAACATCATCTAAATGAAAGCAAAATTCCTGAGAAGGATGGCACTATAATTTTTAAAAGAAAAGCTATGAGTTAAGCATTCATATCAAGGTAGATGTTTGGAGTGTATTGCTTGTGTGTGAAAAGGCAGAGATGACCAGAATAAGAGTTAGAGGTATGCTGCGTTTTCTTCTTGGTTGATGAGTAGGATGGCCTGGACAAAGAAGTGACCTCTAGTAAAATACCTTCATAGTGTCAAATCATCTGGAGGAAATTCAGATTAAAGAGGTTGGATGATGTCGTAATTAAGATCCTGGGCTTTTAAGGTGGACACATTTATATTCAAGTCCCAGGCCCAATGCATATTAGCTCTGTTACTTGAGCTTTTATTTCTGCATCTTTAAAGTTTGGCAAACCTATTACATGAAGCTGTTGAGGGGATAAATGAAATAACGCATGCAAAGCACTTGCAGTAAAGACTAATTATCAATATTTTATTTGTTAAGAGGCAGCATTGCGTTTTACTGGTCAAGTATGTAGACTCTGGGGTGAAACATATTTGGTTTGGTTTCATCTCTGCAATTTATAGTTTGTGTAGACTTTGAGAATAGTTCTCAATCATTCTAACCCTCAGTGAATTCATCTTCTAATGGGAGTGATATCAGTATGGATTTCATGAGATTATGAAAAGAAAATGCCTACAAAGTATTTATTACAATGCCTGGCACAGAACAAGCTCTCCTTAATTGTAAAAATGCTAACTCTTATTCTTCATAATAAATAAAAGTAATTAATGTTATAGAAAACAAAATCAAGGATACTGATTTATATTTGGATTACTTGATTTATATTTTGTCAGTCTATAACTGGTCTTAACTAAGGTAAGTATTAAGATCTCATTTTTAACAGCGAGTATTCTTTTGATTTTAGTTCATTGGAAATCCTGGGATTCAGAAATGTGGATTAAAAGTAATTTCTTCTATTGTACATTTTCCTGATGCATTAGAGATGTTATCCCTGGAAGGTGCTATGGATTCAGTGCTTCACACACTGCAGATGTATCCAGATGACCAAGGTCAGTACAATTTGAATTCAGGATTTAGAATAGATTTTTGTAGGGCATTAGCTGGTGACTGGATGTCTTTAAATATTTTTCTTCAGTTTTGAGATTTAAAACAATTCTTTTTTTTTATTTTCCTAGAAATTCAGTGTCTGGGTTTAAGTCTTATAGGATACTTGATTACAAAGAAGAATGTGTTCATAGGAACTGGACATCTGCTGGCAAAAATTCTGGTTTCCAGCTTATACCGATTTAAGGATGTTGCTGAAATACAGACTAAAGTATGTGCATTATCTTGGAAAGAATTTGGGAACTTGTGCGAATTTCACTTTTGGAGCAGTTTGTGTAATTCCCACTTTGCATGAATGGGGTATTCTAGTTAATGGAAAACCATTTATCCTTTTGTAGTATTTTAATTATACAAGCAAAGAAAATTGGATTGAATCTCTAAAGATCCAGTGTTTCATTATGAAATCTCTAAAGTCAGCATGGTTATTCACCATTTATCTTGCCCATAAAAGTTCAGAGAATGTGCTAAGAAATCCCAGCTAGCTGAGTTTATTCGCTTAGATTTTAGATAAATAGAATTTATAAATATTCCAAAGTTTGTCACTCTCTGGGTTTTATTGCAGGTTGCTTACCTTTAGTAATTTTGCTTGTTGATTTTTTTCCTTGCAGTGAAAAAATGTTTTTAACATTTTTCATCAAGCAAAATTTAAAACATGATATATAATAACTGTCTTTGTAAGGAATTCAAGATACTGGCCTAGAGTTAGTTCACGGGAGATTAAGAATAAATTTGTTTTGTTTTGTTTTTTAATTGTAGCAAAACAAATAGTTTTTCTTCAAGAGTTTCTGCCTTGGTTGTGGAGTTTGCAACTTTCATAAACTACAAAGGAATTTTTTTTTTTTTTTTGGAGACAGGGTCTCACTCTGTCACCCAGGCTGGAGTGTAGTGGCAGATTTCAGCTCACTACAACAGCTGCTTCCCGAGCTCAAGTGATTCTCTTGCCTCAGCCTCCTGAGTAGCTCAGACTACAGGCATGCACTCCCATGCCTGGCTAATTTTTGTATTTTTTGTAGAGATGAGGTTTCACCATATTTCCCAGGCTGGTCTCAAACTCCCTGGTCTCAAGCAATCTGTCCTGCTCAGCCTCCCAAAGTGCTGGGATTACAGGTGTGAGCCAAGGTGCCCAGCTGACTCAGGAAATATTTTTTGTAACTGGCAGCATTGACCAGGAATAAAAATACCTGGTCTCTAATCTTTGCACAGACATTATCAGTAAATGAGAGAATATGTGTAAAGTTTTTTAAAAAATTATAAAGTTATGAACATACAAAATTCTTAGATTAATAACAACAATGTGTTTTATAACTGCTTTTCATAATGTGCCTCAGGCTAGGCTGATTAAACCAAGATAGGATTGATTAAAAGTAATCTTAGGGAAAGGGAAGGATTTTGTGCCGGTATGGAACTCTCAGTTACTCTGGATTAATTCATCTAGGCATAAATTTTAGAATCTCTATAGTAGAGTTTATGAACTAAATCTGGCCTGCCAACATATTTTATTTGTCCAGTTCAGGGTTTTGCTTTGTTTTTTGAGACAGAGTCTCACTCTGTTGCCCAGGCTGTAGTGCAGTGGCGCAGTCTCAGCTCACATCACCCTCCGCCTCCTGGGTTCAAGCAATTCTCCTGCCTCAGCCTCCCTAGTAGCTAGGACTACAAGTATGCACCACCATGCTCAGCTAATGTTTGTATTTTTAGCTGAGATGGGGTTTCGCCGTGTTGGCCAGGCTGGTCTCAAACTCCTGACCTCAAGTGATTCACTCACCTCGGACTCCCAAAGTGTTGGGATTACAGGCATGAGCCACTGCACCCGGCCTTCAGTTCAGTGTTTAAAAGTTTTTAATTCGAATGACGTACTTTCTGCACATTTGCATGGCCTGCTCTGCTGTAGCATTCACTTGTTTTCAGAGACCTCTGCTCTAGAGGCAGGTGGATCACCTGTCCCTCAGACATACATAAATTAAGGCTACTTTGCTTATCAAATATTAGTATTCGTAGATACTCAGCATCATAAGAGTTCGAAGTAATAATTTTAATATTTAGATGACGTAAGTTAATTTAAAATTTTTTTGAGATGGGGTCTCACTCTATGGCCCAGGCTAGAGTGCAGTGGCACAATCTCGGTTCACTGCAACCTCTGCCTCCTGGGCCCATCCTCCTGGGTGGGCTCAAGTGATCCACCTCAGCCTCCTGAGTAGCTGGGACTACAGGTGCATGCACGGGTAATTTTAAAATATTTTTTATAGGCACAAGATTTTGCCATATTGTGCAGGCTGGTCTTGAATTCCTGGGCTCAAGCAATCCCACAGTGCTGAGATTACAGGTGTGAGCCATGGTGTCTAGCCAATTTTATTAATATGTAATATTAGAGGTAATAAAACATTAAAAAGTTAAGATGATCCTTGGTGGCTTTACCCAACCTAAATAATACTAAAGTCAAAAGCCCAATCTTTCATTAAAACATCACATGAGTGAAGAGGACAGACTCTGGGGATGTGCTTAAGGTGGTTCTAAAAAAGTAACGGTGTTCTTTATAAATAACTTATTATTAGAATGTAATCCTCAGAGTGCCCTCAGCGCTTCTCAACTACACTCAACATAAATGAAATCTAGGAGTCCACACTAGCCTTTCTGAGATAAACATTTCGGAAGACAGCGCAAAAAGCTGGGGGATATGCTAGGCTCTCTAGAGAACCTACTGTTCAATATTATAATACAAATTTTTACTCTATTGACCTGTTTGGATGTGTAGTTCTGCTGATCCAACCGCTTTAATCCTGTTTAATATCTGGGTTTCATCCTATAACTATGGCTTTAGACAAGCATCTTTGAAAACCAAATTTGAGGGTATTAGTTCTTTTTCCTGCTTTGCTACTGAATGGTTTGTTAACTAGCATTTTATTCTCTGTGCCTGCTATATTTCTTAGTCATGAGAGAGAGAGGGAGTATTTATTTACAGGATAAATACTTTAAAGCACCAACCCAATATATCTATAGTTAAATGAACATCCTAGGTATTGTTTCATATACAAACTCTCTCTGCTTTATACTGTTTATTCATTTTGCCTGTAATTGCTTATTTTATTATTTTTTTTCTTATACTTTTAGGGATTTCAGACAATCTTAGCAATCCTCAAATTGTCAGCATCTTTTTCTAAGCTGCTGGTGCATCATTCATTTGACTTAGTAATATTCCATCAAATGTCTTCCAATATCATGGAACAAAAGGATCAACAGGTACAGTGTTTTTCACTTGCATCCTAAATGTTATGTATTTATCTGACTCTAATTCTCATTTCCACTCTTTTTAGTTTCTAAACCTCTGTTGCAAGTGTTTTGCAAAAGTAGCTATGGATGATTACTTAAAAAATGTGATGCTAGAGAGAGCGTGTGATCAGAATAACAGCATCATGGTTGAATGCTTGCTTCTATTGGGAGCAGATGCCAATCAAGCAAAGGAGGGATCTTCTTTAATTTGTCAGGTAAATATTCAAGGCCTCACTTTTGTCTTTGCTCAGTATTCTTATAGAATGTAAGAGCCCTGCCATTGTGTATCTCTTACTTATATCATATTATTCTTCACTACAGAAATTTACCAGTTTATTGCAATTGTTTGTGTCTTGTAGTAGATTTATAGAATTCCAGAAGTAATAGGGTCCTTTAGGTGTTATCCAGTCTAATCTTTCATTTCATCTGTTTACTTATCTTGTTAAGTTGATAAATAACTTTTCAAATGTGTCCCTTAGTAGGCATCTCTACAACTTAGTCTCCAGATACACTCCACATAACACATAGTTCTAATGTTTTGATAATTTTTTAACCATTTTTTTCCATGGTTTTAGTTTCTTTGCCTAGAAAGTTCTCCCCTGAGGGCTACCACACATGGCTATGCAGGCTGTGGATGGCACACTTTTGTCGGTGCCATTCACAGTGACATGAGTTGCTGTTGGCCAAAGTTGTGTAACACTGGTCTTTCTTTCCTTCTCTCTTCCCTCCTGAACCATGTAAACATATATCTATCTGATTGTTCTGCTCTCCCTTCAAAATATAATTCAAATTATCTTTCTTTAAAGCCCTCCCCATACCTCCAAACCTCCAAACAAAATTAAGATTTACTTCTTTTGTCAGTCTATGAAAATATATACATATCTCTTGTATACTTGGTGAGTTGTGTGAAAATAACAGTGTACAGTGTTCATCTTTGTATCATTCAGAATATCGAGCTCATTGCTTTACATATGGTGTGTATTCAATAAATACTAGGTTCATTGCTTATATTTCAGATTTGTATTATTTGTATAAGTGTTAGAGTTTATACTAGCATTCAGGTAGCACTATGTCTATTTTCTAGAAATTTAATATTTCTAACAAAGCAATTATGTAGTGATTTAATACACATTATTAAATAATCAATAAAGTACTATGTTTGCCAATAGTTTACTTTTTAAACCTTACTGTATTTAATATCCCTACTGTATTTAATATCCCACTTGCCTATGGATTGAAATCAATTTGTTGACTGTTAAGATTAAGTTAATACTAATTAGTAATCAACATAAAAAGAAAAAGAATTTGTAACCCATTTTCATGCATTACGTTTATGAATTAAAATCACATAAACAATCTAATTATTTAAATTTAGTCAAATTTCTTTTAAGCAAGCAACAATTAAAATAGTTGCTCCGCTTTACTAAAGATAATTAAATTTTTCCATCAATAATTTAATACATTTTTACTGTGCATCTTTTGCATGCAGATTATTGCATTAATTTTAATTGAAAATACCGAAGAACTAAAAAGAAACTTCCCCTTCTAAGTCCACATTAAGGAAACAACATACCTAAAAGCACCTGATACAACTGTACTACATTCCCCACAGGAAATCATTTCTACTATTCTTTCAATTTATCCAAATCTTTCTACCCAACAGGATTTTTACTTTATTCCTCTTTCCATATTCTTTTGGACTTCATATGCTTAGTTTTATCTTTTCTTTTTAAAACGAAATCTTAAATCCAAGGATTATGTATTAGGTTTAAAGAATTTATCCCAGTTGTCAGAGGTTATTTATATCTAGCAAACAATAACTGCTGATTAAATCTTGTGGATGAGTTTGTCGTATGTACCTTATTTGTGCCAGAGCAAAATAAGGTAATCAGGACTATTTATTCATTTACCAAGAGGTTACATATTGAAGGACTATCTAGAGCAAGGGTGGAGTTGTGTTAGACTTTCTGCAGAGAATTTGATAATGGAATGTACATGATTGGTAGAGAAGAATATGGAAGTTTAATACTGGGTATGCAAATGCATGGATAAAAACCTCAAGGTAAAACTCATCAAATCACAGTGGAAAAAGTATAGTGAAGTCTGAATAAAAATAATAAGAGGCTGGGCATGGTGGCTCACATCTGTAATCCCAACACTTTGGGATGTTGAGGTGGGAGGATCACTTGAGCCAGGAGTTCGAGACCAACTTGAGAAACATAGTGAGACTCCATTTCTACAAAACAAACCAACAAGCAAAAAACCATGTATGATGGCACACACATGTAGTCCTAGCTTCATGCAGGGTGGCTCATGCCTGTAATCCCAGGGCTTTGGGAAGTCAAGGCGGGAGGATCATTTGAGCCCAGGAGTTCAAGACCAGCCTGGGCAACATAGTTAGACCCCCATGTCTACAAAAAGTCAAAAAATTAGCTGGGTATGGTGGTACCTGCTTATAGTCCCAGCTACTTGGGAGTCTGAGGTGGGAGGATGACTTGAGCCTGGGAGGTTGAGGCTGCAGTTAGCTGAGATTGCACCATTGCACTCCAGCCTAGGCAACAGAGCCAGACCCTGTTAAAATAAAATAAAATAAAATAAAATAAAATAAAATAAAATAATATAATAAGGCTGAGGTGGGAGGATCACTTGAGCCTAGGAGGTCAAGGCTGCAGGAGCTAAGATTGTGCCACTGTACAGCAGCCTTGGTGACAGAGGGAGACTCTGTCTCAAAACCAACCGGTCGGGTGCGGTGGCTCACGCCTGTAATCCCAGCACTTTGGGAGGCCGAGGTGGGTGGATCATGAGGTCAGGAGATCGAGACCATCCTGGCTAACCCGGTGAAACCTTGTTTCTACTAAAAAAATACAAAAAATTAGCCAGGCGTGGTGGCAGGTGCCTGTAGTCCCAGCTACTTGGGAGGCTGAGGCAGGAGAATGGCGTGAACCTGGAAGGCGGAGCTTGCAGTGAGCCTAGATCGCGCCACTGCACTGCAGCCTGGGCGACAGAGTGAGACTCCGTCTCAAAAAAAAAAAAAACAAAAAACGAACCAACCAACCAACCAACAAAACAAACAAACAAAAAACCAACAAAACCAAACACTTCTATCATGCTCATTACCACCTGGGCACTGCTCCAAATACTTTACACAATTTAATCCTTACGACAACCTACGAAAAGGTCCAGTAGGTTCTAATGTTATTCCCATTGTGCAAGTGAGAAGCTGAGGCACTGAGGGTTTAAATAACTTGCCTAAGAACAAGCTCCTGGTAACAGTGTGAAATCTGCCTCCACAGTGCCTGCTTTAATTTCTTGGCTACACAGCAGATTCATGGTAGTGGTGGTAGTGGTGTTCATTTTCTCTAAAATAACAGTTTGAATAATTTGGTTTTGATAATGCACTGCATTTATTATAAATTAGATGATCAGAGAAAGATTGCAGGGATAAGAAATTATGCTTTTGATAATCTTTAGTTATATTCTTAATTTTCTTCATTATTATTTAAATGTAAAAATAAATATCTGTGAGCAGTAGTATTTTCCTGTCATGAAGCTGAAATTACTTTCATAAATATGTGTGAATATTCTAAAGAGAATGACTCTGTAGGATTTAAAGAAATTAATTCTTATTTTTGCTGGCATTTATTTATTTTATCAGATTCACTTTCTCATATATGTCTCTCTTCATGGCACCATATGCCTAAAGTCAGCTTGGATAGTTTGGATCCTCCAAGGAAAATTCCTTCCACAAACATGTGCAGCACACAGTGCTAGATAATTAATAGAGAATATAAAATGGGTTTCCTGTTTCAAGATGGTTTGTAGGTCTGTATGTGTAGGGCATTGACAAGAGAGTAAAACATAAATCACCTTAGTACAAAGTAAGGAGTGAATGGCATATCTTAGAGAAAAAAAAGTTACTGGGCTATAAGAGAAGGCATTTGTGAGTTTTTCCCTCCCTCCCCGCTTCCCTTCCCTTCCCTTCCCTTCCCTTCCCTTCCCTTCCCTTCCCTTCCCTTCCCTTCCCTTCCCTTCCCTTCCCTTCTCTTCCCTCCCCTCCCCTTCTCTTCCCTCCCCTCCCCTCCCCTCCCCTCCCCTCCCTTCTCCTTTCTCTTCCCCTTCCCCTTCCTCTTCCCCTTCCCCTTCTCCTTCCTTCCTTCCTTCCTTCCTCTTCCACCTGCCTTCCTTTTAATTTTGCTATGAGCCCTTAAAGAGGATTTTAGTAATTTGCTACTTAAATTAAATATATTTGCTAGATGTTGTGCTAGGCTTCAGGAATACAAGTTGGATTGCAGTAATGTAAAGCCCTTTGCATTCTAGCAAGAAAACAGATGGGTATGTATGTTTGCTCAGTGCTACATTAAATGAAATGGATGGGAGCCGGGAGGAGAAATGGTGTGTTTGGCCTGAGAGGTTAGTAGCAAGGACTTCTCTGCAAGAAAGTTTGAAGCCAATTCTTCAAGAATGAACACCTTTTTGCTGGGTGAAAAGTAGAGGAAGGCATTTGGGGTAATAGAAATAGCATAAAAGGTAATGAGGTTTGAAAAATTACATGCTGTGTTTGGAAGAATGTCCTGGAGCAGCAGCGTTTTAGAAGGTTTTTAAAGACGATGGTGACTTGATCAGAGCTCTGTAGTGCTTTGAGGATGGGTTGAAGGTGGGCGTACTTGGAGACTGGTGGGCATTTAATTGGTGCCTTCCAACCACATAAATGAATGTCCCCTCAAATCCCTTGGAAACACTTTAATTCTAGAAAATTCAAAAATTGTCCCCAACATCTTTTTCCTCTGAGTTGGTACCCTGGATCTTTGGGTCTTCTTTTCTTTCCTTTTTTGATGTTTTATTTTGGGTAATGAAAGTCACACAGGTTTTGAAGCCAGCAGATTTGGCTTCAAATCCAAGTCTCAGTTGCTTGCTAGCTGTAAGGGACAAATTATATATCTTTTCTAAATACTCATCTATAAAATGGGAGTAATAATTGCTATGGCATAGGATTTTTTTAAAAAAAAGATTAGAAATCATGTGTGTACAGAATTTAGCACAGTAACTGATGGATATTATTTCTATTACCTGTTATCTTGGTCTTCTAGTTGATAGCTCCTTGCTAGCGTCTAGCTCCTTTCCATAGCTCTTCCTGAGTAGGGCCAGCATGCAGTGCCACAGCTTGCTAAGGCTTCTCCTGGATTGCTGAGTTGTTCTAGTTTTTGTGGCACCTCACATGCTAACCCACCCTGAACACATGCTCTGAAAACATAACATTTAGAGGAAGGTTGAAGACTGAGAGACAAGGTATATCTTTGAGGAAATTCAGATGCTTGTCTTGAGGAGCTCAGGAAAGCTAGACACGAGTAATGACTGTCGTTTGTGTGTGGCATTAATAAATTTTACAATAGCTATGTCCCCATTTAGTTATTCTATGTCACAAATAAAGGCAGGACAGTAGTATTTACTGTGTTAAGGTACTGGTTTCCCAGGTATCTTACAGTGAGAAGACAGAAGCTCAGAAAGTGTAAGCAATGTGCATATTTGGTGGAGTCTGGATGTAAACAGAGATCTTGATGCCAAGCCTGTGGAGCTTTGTCTCCATATAATGTTGTCTCTTTCATAATAACTGACTGTCATGTGGCAGATTATTCATGCTATTCTGACATTGATGGCATTAATATCATCTTATTTTCCCAATCTATTCAAGGATCAGTTTTGCCTTATTTTATTTTGTTTCATTCCAAATTGGAGATGTAGAGAAAAATCACATGAAGTTTGATTTGCCAGTCTCCTAAAAGGAAGAAAAATGTAGATTTTTAATATACTTAATTTTTTTTCTTTAATAGGTATGTGAGAAAGAGAGCAGTCCCAAATTGGTGGAACTCTTACTGAATAGTGGATCTCGTGAACAAGATGTACGAAAAGCGTTGACGATAAGCATTGGGAAAGGTGACAGCCAGATCATCAGCTTGCTCTTAAGGAGGCTGGCCCTGGATGTGGCCAACAATAGCATTTGCCTTGGAGGATTTTGTATAGGAAAAGTTGAACCTTCTTGGCTTGGTCCTTTATTTCCAGATAAGACTTCTAATTTAAGGAAACAAACAAGTAAGTAACAAGGAGAATATTTTTTACAATTCTTATTTTTAATAGTATTTTTTTAAGTCACTAGTCTTTTAGTGGTTATTCATGCCAGTTTGAGGGACCTTAAGCCAAAGATATTGCAAAGGTTTGGATTTTTTTTTTTTTTGGCTATGAAATACTTCAAAATGACATTTAAGTTCTTTATGAGATAGCAAATAGTTATTTATAAAAATAGAGCAAAATAGTGGAAGCTTTTTGAAGGGGTACTTTTTAATATATATTTTTTATTATTAAAGTAAGATATCCCTGTTTTTAAAGGAAATATAAAATTATAAAAAAGAAAATAAAAATAACTTATTTTATCTCTTATAAGTAATTAATATGGATATTTTTCCTAACTTTTTATATGCTTACATGTACCTATGCATTCAAATGTATGTAAAAGCATACACACATATTTATTTGGCATTTTTAACTTAGAATATACTTTATATTTCAATTGATAATGCATTTTCTTTATACTTTCAAGCTCATGTGTATTTTGTACATATTATGTGTATTGATGGTAAGTTACCATCTTCTGACACTATTTTTATCTTTTGAGCTCTCTCATTTGTTCACACTAAATGTGTTTTTAGCGTGAAAGCTCCCAGCTTTCCCTGTGTTAACTTAGTCCCATGCCCATCTCCTTCCCCATGGTCATCAAACTCCATGAATCAACACCTTAAGGACCATCTTGCAAGTAACATGTTTGCTTCTCTCATTTTTATGATGCACTCACTAGCAAAACACCAGTTTTGGTCAGTCTACCAGTCTACTTTTTCCCTCAGTTTCACCAAGAAAACTGAGTGCTGCTAGAGAAAAGTACCCATCCATGCAATTTGGTGCCTTTATACATCAAGGTTTCCAACCGCTCAGTAGGCTCCAAAAGTTCCAATCAGGCTGAATTTTCCTCGGTTTCTCAAACACTTCGTGTACCCTTACTTCCAGTCTTTTTCCAGTGTTACTCTCTCTCTACCTAGCTCTAAATTCTCTCTTCACCTGGCTGTCTCTTCATTCTTCCTGTCTCAGTGCTATCACCAGTCTGGAAGGTTCTCTTACATGACCCTATAGCACTTTATTTCTCACATATACTACCATTCACCACATTATATAATTTAATTTTTCATTTTTATAATCTACTTTTTGGTAAATTGTTAGTACCATGAAGTCAATGTCAATTTTGTTCATGGTTGTAACCTTACCATTGATACTAGTGTTTTGCACATAGTAGATTATCATTTAGAATTAAGTATTCAATATTGGCAAAAAATAAAAATTGTGTAATACATTATGTTGATAAGCATGTGTGGAAACATGCTTCATATATTGATATGAATTTAAATTGTCCTCTTTTGAGGACAATTTGGCAATATCTACTAATATTTTTAATATATGTACATACTTTTTTGACCTCACAATGTACTGTTAGGAATCTATGATACAGACATTCTCAATGTGCACAAAAATTATGTACAAAAATGCACATTAAAACATTGTTTATAATAGCAAAAGAGTAGGAAAAAAACCTAAGTATTCCCCAAAAGGAACTATTCAAATAAATAATGGTACATACATGTTGTGGAATGCTTTGCAATCATTGAGGAAAAAAAAACGTGGAGCAAATTTAATGTCCTGATAAAGATTACATTACTCCGTGGCAAAAAAAAGGGCACAGACAGTGTTTTTACTATGCTAATGTTGATGAAAATGCAACTGGAATATGATAGTTATAAAAGTTTGAATATGAAATAAAACCCTCCAGAAATGGGTTCCCTGGTTGTCTCTGGGTCTTTGGAAATTACTGAGACATGGTTAGATCCCATGTTTCATTACTTAAACTAGTCTTATGCCAAAAACCTGCTTACTTTAATCTTCAATATCCGATGGAGAGGAATTGTGGGCCCATTGGAGAGGGACAGAGGGAGATTTATCATTCACTATATTCTCTTTGTTCTGTCTGGAGTTTTTACCATTGACACATCTTACCCAGTTAAAAAAACATAGAATTGTCATTTGATTAATTGGAGGGTATAACCATGATTTCACTGGCAGCTGGTCTGAGTAAAGAACACTTTGGGTCATAGCTTTCAAACATTTTTCAGGTAGTATTTGCCTAAGTGACATATTTGTGTGTGAGCTCATCCTACCGGGCTTCGGGATAATTTCCCATATCATAACATATTACTCTGGAAAAAGGAACCATTTGGGTATATGGGTATAGTGTAAGCCATAGTATCAGTTGCCTTCTTGGGGTTTATCATATGGGTCCACCACATATTTACAGTAGGAATAGATGTAGATACATGAGCATACTTCACTCTGCTACTATAATTATTGCTATTCCTACTGTTGTCAAAGTCTTTTAGCTGATTATCTACACTTCACAGGGGTAATATCAAATGATCCCCCACCATGCTCTGAGCCCCAGGGTTTATTTTCCTTTTTACAGTAGGAGGCCTAACCAGCATTGTATTAGCCAACTCATCACTGGATATTGTACTACATGATACAGCAGTATCATGTAGTAATATTTGAAGTCATTACAGTAGTAATATTTGAAGAAATCTTCCTGGCTGTATGTAGAACAATGAGGACTCAGCCAACTTATTCTTCATAGTAGAGCTAATACATAATGTAATGAAGTTGTGAGAAGAATGTTAACTTTGAAATTCCATCAGGTTTCCCAATAGTCATAATGAATCACTCAGCAAACTTTATAAAAATAACAAGATCCTTTATTTAGCAGTTTATGTGTTCTATGCATTGTGCTAAACATTTTATATGCATCATTTCAATTACTCTTTTTCATCACCATATACTGTATTTATTATCATCTTCATTTTCCAGGTGAGGACACTGATACCCAGGGAGCTCATATAACTCACAAATGGCATTTCTATGACTTGAACACAGGCCTGTCTGGCTTCAAAGCCTAGGCCTTTTCCTGAATAAAGTTAGTTCCATAGAGATTCAGTTTTGCTGTCTACATGAAAGCATTGTGTACATGGTTATGTTTTTTTAAAAAATATATGATCTGCCACCTGTTAATTATTCAGGATCACTAGTGTAAGGTGACTTTGAAAGGAAAAATAGAAATATTCTCCAGAAGCATAGCAATACGTAAGAACTTTGGTCCTATGTATGTTTATTTTTGCATAATTGTTGATTTCTAAGTTGCTGGTGTATCTCTTATTTTCAGATATAGCATCTACACTAGCAAGAATGGTGATCAGATATCAGATGAAAAGTGCTGTGGAAGAAGGAACAGCCTCAGGCAGCGATGGAAATTTTTCTGAAGATGTGCTGTCTAAATTTGATGAATGGACCTTTATTCCTGACTCTTCTATGGACAGTGTGTTTGCTCAAAGTGATGACCTGGATAGTGAAGGTATTTATTATAAAAAAAAACCCTTTATGCTTTATATTTACACACTGACATTGAACAATAGGACCCAAGACAAAAACCTGACCTAAATCATCTGGAAAAACTTGAGTAGAAATGTGTTTATTATCGCAAACAGTTAAGTTTACTAATTTTGGTTAAAGTGATGGGTCAAGGAAGTGTGTCTCTGTGCTTCTAAATGTTATACTAATTGGTTAATGGTTAATATTCCAGGAAACAAACTCTGACTAGACTGGAACGAGATTCCACGCTCTGTCATTGACTAGATCCTTTCGTGGCTTGTGTAAGCCCCTTAACCTTGTTAAAGGTAGTAATGTCGACTTTGCAGGGTTATACATAATAATTAGAAAAAATGTATGTAAAATGTCTGCAACAATGCTTGGCAAACAGGAAGCGCTTAATAAAAAAGGTTTTTATCTTTACTATAGCTTAAAACAATATTAATATTTTAATAGCTCACTTGAGATAACTTTTTAAAAAATTAATATGGTGAAATATATAATGACAATGATTAGGGCTGATGTATTTAGCATTAGCAGTTTGGTAAAAATGGAGTGAGGGGCTTTCTTATTAATATAGTATGATTGAAAACACTGGGTGATAGAATAAGGATATTTGAGAGGGCAAAAAATGAGAGTTGTTCCAAAATATTGTGTCTCAAGTCAAACCATTTTTAAAAATCAAGTGTAGTGATTTATATACATATATAATTTATATAAAATAAAATGCATTCACTTTAAGTATATATTTTCATGCGCTTTGAAAATTAACATATTCATGTGGTCATTGTCGCTATTAAGTTATGCAATATTTTCATTATCCAAAAAAGTTTCTTCATGCCTCTTCACTGAAAACATCCCCTTCCCCTGGCCCCCCTGACCCTTAGCAATCATTTGCTTCCTGACAATGTAGATTAATGTTTTCTCTAGTTTTATATACATAGGATCATACAGTGAGTACTCTTTTGTGTCTGTTTTCCAAAATGATTGTACTATGTTCTACCCCCACCAGCAGTACATGAGCATTCTGGTTGCTCTACATCCTTGTCAGTACTTGGTATTTTCAAGTTACTTTTAGCTGTTCTAGTGGAGGTTTAATTCATTTAGATGTAATTTTCATTTCCCTGATGACTAATTATGTAGAGGATGTTTTCATGTTCTTATTGGCCATTCTTATTTTTGTGTGAAGTGTTGAAGTATTTTGCTTTTAATTGGGTTGTCTTATTATATAAGAGTTCTTTGTATATTCTAGATAGAAGTTGTGACAGGTATATGTATTGCATATTTTTTTCCCAGTCATAGCTTGTCTTTTCATTTTACTAATTCTATTTTTAACAAAACAGAGGTTTTAAATCTTGGTGAAATGCAGTTTTCCAGTTTTTTTCTTTTATGGTTTGTGCTTTTTGTATCCCACTTAAGAAACCTTTTCTTAGCCTAAATTTGTGAATATTTTCTCCCATATTTTCTCTTAGAAGTGTTAAAATCTCAGCTTTGGCATTTAGGTCTAAAACATTTTAAGTTGATTTTTGTGTGTGGTGTGTCAATGAAGAGTTGACATTTATTTCTTTCTGTATGGATATCCAGTTGTTCCAACATTACTTGTTGAAAATATTATATAATTCCTCATTGAATTAATGGAAGCTTTGTTCTCTTTAATTGACTATTTAGGTATGGTTCTATTTTAGCATTATTTATTCTGTGCCACTGATTTATACCTTATTCTTATGCCAATACCACACTGTCTTGATTACTCTAGCTTAATAGCAGTTCTTGAAATCAGATAGTGTAAGTCCTCTGGTGTTCTTTTAAAAAAAATTGTTCTTATTATTCTAGGTTCTTTGCATTTCCATATAAATTTTTAATCAACTAACTTTATGCTGGGATTTTTATTGTAATTAAGTCCATATTTAGATTTTATATAGAATTTATTTATAAATTAAATCATATTACCTATGATTTTAATGTAATCTATAATATATAATTAATACATAAATAATAATTTATATAGATTATATCTATAAATTAATTTGAGGGAACTAATATATTAATAATGAGTCTTTTGACATATTAATGTGATATATAGTTCAATTAGTCTTTTAAAATTTCTAACAGTGTGTTGTATTGGATGTTTTCTGATACTATTATAGATGGTATTGTATTTGAATTCTAATTTCCAGTAGTTCACTGTTGATATATAGAAACATAATTCATTTATTTGTACATGAATTTTGTATCCTGTAAACTTACTAAGCTCACTTACGTGTTCCAGTACCTTATTATAGATTCTACAGGATTTTCTTTGTTCACAATTATACCATTTGGTAATAAAGACAGATTTGCTTTTTCTTTTCTAATATTTATGTCTTCTTTTTTTTTCTTGTCCTATTGCACTGGCTAGGACCTCCAGTACTATGTTGAATAGAATTGGTCAGACTGGGCATCATTCCCTGGTTTCCAAACTTAGAGGAAAAACATACAGTCTCTAATCACTAATTATGACATTATCTGTAGTTTTTCATAGATGCCCTTCATCAAATTGAAGAAGCTTCTTCCTAGTCATTTTTGGAGAGCCTTTTTTTATCATTAATAGGTGTTGAAAAATGCTCTTCAGCATCTGCTGAGGTATTCATATTTTTCACCTTTATTTTGTTAATATGGTCAAATACACTGACTGATTTTCTAATGTTAAACCAACTTGCATTCCTGGAGTAAATCTCACTTGGTTATGGTACATTATCCTTTTTATATAGTATTAAATTTTGTTTTCTAAATTTTGTTAAGAATTTTGCATCTGTGAGAGATATTAGTCTGTAGTTTTATACTTCCTTGTAATTATGGGAGTAATGCTGGCCTCTTGAAATGAATTGGGAAGTGTTTCCCATTCCACAATTTTCTGGAAGAATTTGTGTAAAGGTATTTTCTTCTTAAATGTCTGATAGACTTCACCAGCAAAGGCCATCTAGGTTTTAAATTTTTGTGAGGAGGAGATTTAGAATTATGAATTTAATAACTTTGATAGATGTATGATTATTTTAATTTTCTTTTACTTCTTAAGTCAGTTTTAGTAATGTGTAACTTTCAAGGAATATGCCCATTTCATATAAGTTGCCAAATTTATTTGTTTAATGTTACTTATAGCAATTATTTAATTATCCTGTTAGTGATTTAATTATCCTGTTAATCTCTTCAAAGAATCAGATTTTTGTTATATTGATTTTCTCTATTGTTTGTGTTACTTTCTCACGGACTTTTGTTCTTATCTTTATTGTTCCCTTTTCCTTACTTATTTTTATTTTAATTGACTCTTTTTATAGATTCTTAATTTGGAAGCTTAGAACACTGGTTTTTAGAACCTTCTTATTTTGTAACAGAAACATTTATTTAAGGCTGTATATGTCCTTATAAATATCACTTTCACTGCATCCCAATATTTTGATGTGTCCTCTTTCTATTCATTTAAAAAAATTTAATTTCCCAAATGTCCAACAATGATAGACTGGATTAAGAAAATGTGGCACATGTACACCATGGAATACTATGCAGCCATAAAAAATGATGAGTTCATGTCCTTTGTAGGGACATGGATGAAGCTGGAAACCATCGTTCTCAGCAAACTATTGCAAGGACAAAAAACCAAACACCGCATGTTCTCACTCATAGGTGGGAATTGAACAATGAGAACACTTGGACACAGGAAGGGGAACATCACACACCAGGGCCTGTTGTGGGGTGGGGGGAAGGGGGAGGGATAGCATTAGGAGATACACCTAATGTAAATGAGGAGTTAATGGGTGCAGCACACCAGCATGGCACATGTATACATATGTAACAAACCTGCATGTTGTGCATGTGTACCCTAGAACTTAAAGTATAATAAAATATATATATATATATATAAATTTAATTTCCTTTGTGACTTCTTTGATTCACGAGTTATTTAGAAGGCTGTCATTTATTTTCCAAATATTTGGAGATTTTCTGGATAACTTTCTGGTTATTGGTTTCAGTTTGACTTTTTTGTGCTCAGATAACCTACTCTGATGATTTCTATCCTTTTATATTTATTGAAACATGCTTTATGGATTATCATATGGTCTGTCTTGGTGATGTGCCATGTGCAACTGAAAAGAAAGTATATTCAGCTGTTATTGGGTCAAATCAATAGGCCAAATTGTTTGGTAGGATTTCTCAAGTTTTCTGTGACTTCACTGACTTTTCTTTCTATTTATTGTATTTGATAGAGAAATATTGAAGTTGTAATTGAGGATTTGTTGGTTGCCTTTTCAGTTTTATCTGTTTATGCTTTGTATATTTTGAAGCTCTGTTGTTTGTTGTGCAAACATTAAGGACTATATAACAAAGGACTATATATAAAAATAATTTTTTAAATAAAGTAACCACTTTATATTAATCTAAGTTTGCAGTTAGTATCATTTTCTTCCTCTGGAAGAATTCCCTTTTACATTTCTAGCGCAGATCTTCCAGAAACCCATATGCAGATTACTGGAGCACTTTTTCCATAACTGCCCCAGAACTCCCAGCTATCTCAGTCTCCATAAATGTTGATCTCTATCTCCTCATCTCAGGAAAGCCATGAGACTGTTTAAATTTCTTCTTATGTATATGGCCCTTAATTTGTCTCTAAGCAGAAGGCCAGAGTGATCATAGGGCTCACATAATTTGTTTCCCTTCTTTCGGGTATTACATAGTCCTATGCTGTCTGTTGCCCAGTGTCTGTATCCAGTCATTTAATATATTTATCCAGTTTTCTTGTTGTTTATGTGAGTAGGTTAAGTTCACATTTGTTACTCTATCATGCCTGAAAGAACTCTCTTCAAGTATTTTTCAAGAAAACATTAGAAATTTTAACATAAAATAATTATAAAATGCACTATGCTGCTTGTACAAATAATGTGCTAATAGACATTTCACACACATATAAAGTGGGATAATTATGATAATTTAATAATCTTTATAATTATGTAATTGTTACTAAATTATAAATTATATTTTATTAAAATTCTTAAGCATTAAAATAATTTAAACTATAGAATTAATTAAACTTTAGCAATGAACCAGGCAGGAACTGTTTATATCAGGATTTATACTGAATATTATAAGGGTGGTATTTGGATATACAGATTTTATAATTTGGTTTTGACATAAAATGAATTCTTTCTTTTTCTAAGATAAAGAGTAGGGGAATTTAAAATCATAATTAATTTTTCACAAATGCATTCACATTATTTATCTTTAATATGATTTTTTTATTGATCTTTGTTTTCTTGTAAATTTATTATTTTGAAAGTACTGCCTTTTCCTTATTTTATAAAACAATTATTGCCAGCCAAATTTATTGTGTTTATTTTAATACCATTCCATAAAAGAAACCATGAAACATGAAATTCAAATAGAAATTTATTAAAAATTGCTGACTGTTAAATAATTTGTGTGATTACAACATTTAAAGCAAGATTTGAAAAATTTATAAGAAAAATTCAGGGAGTTAATCCACTCTCTTTCCTATGCTGCTAGACCCTATTCCAGCGGTCTCCATAAAAAAAATTCAGAGAAACAGAAAGCAGTAACAGTGATCAGATTGCATACAAACTTTCTGCACACACATATATTTGTTATAACTTATGTAACCGTTGATTGATTTGGCTTTTTCCTGCTGGACTATGAGCTCCTCTGAGGAATAGATTTATTTTTTTTCTGCATATCAGTATCCCGTGCTTACCCAGTGTCTAGTCTGTAACAGCCATTCTATAAATATTTATGGGTGAAGAAAAATGTTGTTGAATTTTTAAAGTGAAAAACCAACATGGCTTATCATCTCTATTTTAAAGATTTTACAAAGGGAATGGACTGTGAAATTTCCATTAATAAAAATAGGTCTAATCTTCCATGATTGAACTATGATAGAAGGATCTTATGATTGAGTAAGCTTTTTGTATTCACCTTCATGTTATTTTATCATTTTCAAAATAGGAAGTGAAGGCTCATTTCTTGTGAAAAAGAAATCTAATTCAATTAGTGTAGGAGAATTTTACCGAGATGCCGTATTACAGCGTTGCTCACCAAATTTGCAAAGACATTCCAATTCCTTGGTAAGTTAAATTGTGCAATTGTGATTATGTTGTGTTTTGCTGCTGACATTCTCTTGATAACTAAAATTTATGCCAAAGCTAGGAACAATTGGTAGGGATTTCCCTGATGTATGAAAACTATAATTTTGAGATTTTTATATATGTAATAGATATGAAAACATATTAGATGTAAATTATGCTCAATTCACATTTGTAGTCTTTTGAGTATGCAGGGTATGAATTTTTTGGGGCACATATATATATATATATATACTTACAGTACACTTCAAGATGGTTTTCTTCTTTCTTTTCAGAACTCCATGTCTGAAAAGAGCCCAGGCTAGACCTCTACCTAATGGTGTGGGTTGGTCCCATGAACACTTTAGCTAGAAATCTGATAGTGATTTCTAAGAAACCAGACAGAAGTCTGAAGGACACTGAACAAGATGGAGTAGCATAATATAATTCATTGTTCATCTATCTATCTATCATCTATCTATCTATCTATCTATCTATCTATCTATCTATCTATCTATCATCTATCTATCAATCATCTATCTATTTTGGTGTATTGAAAGTCATTTAATTTTTTAGATACCTTTATTATTATTTCAACCTCTTGTCTGTTTTGGAACTATGGAAGGACTATGGCATATTTGCATGAGGAGTCTGATAATTCTAGTTGAGGAAATTGGGAGCCACCTTATTCTCAGGTTCACTTTGAAAGACCTGTTCTAACCTATTCTCCAATTTTGATTATAGCTGAGTACTAAAAATATGAGGGTTGTTTTGTGTTAATTCTAGATCTTAAGATGGGTGAAATGAATGACTGTAGTTGAATCGGTTAAATTAGCTGTCAGTCTTTATATGCTCTTTCGAATTTATATATAAATTTAGTTATAAAAAGTAGTTTGGTTAATGAGAAATTATATGGATATAGCTTTTTCACTCAACCTTTCTGTTTTTCAGTTTCCTTATATTTAAAACAAAGGAGAAAGAGTAGATGCTTTCTAAGGTCATTTGAGCACTGAACTGGAGTTTTCTTTTATCCTCATAATTGGGTTCTTAGTTTTTACTTGCCTATTTTTTCCCATAATTATAAATACCATTAACCCTATTAAAATTTCATGGTTCCTTCCTTATAAAAATGTCCTCTTCTCCAATAAATGACAGCAATTTTATTATAAATTATTTTTTAATAGGGGCCCATTTTTGATCATGAAGATTTACTGAAGCGAAAAAGAAAAATATTATCTTCAGATGATTCACTCAGTAAGTATTTGGATGTAATCATAAGTAAATAGATATTTTGGGCAGAATGCAGTGTTTGGTTGAATTTCCTCCAATTATTCAAATATTCTTGGTGCCAGTTTCATCTTACATAATCTTCATATATATTTACCTAATGATTCCTTCCATAAGCTATAGAAAAATGAAACATACATTTAAAAATTTACCTTTCTTGAATATTATAGAACACATTAGTCTTTTTTTTTACAAGTTTTCTGAAATGTAAATAACACCTCCACCAAGGCCACTCTTCATCCTCTCCTCCAGTTTTCTTTCTTTCTTTTTTTTTTCACACCACTTACACCACCTGATTAAATGCTTTTTATTTACTGTTCATCTCTGCCACTGGAATGTAAACTCCATAGTTTGGTTTTCTACTGAATCTTCAGTGCCTTGAAGAAAGCCTGATTGCTAGGAGGTGCTCACTAAACTTTTACTACATGAATTTAAATTATTTGCTTATATTTCCATTGTTTGTTTGTTTTTGACAAAAGGGTCATCAAAACTTCAATCCCATATGAGGCATTCAGACAGCATTTCTTCTCTGGCTTCTGAGAGAGAATATATTACATCACTAGACCTTTCAGCAAATGAACTAAGAGATATTGATGCCCTAAGCCAGAAATGCTGTATAAGTGTTCATTTGGAGCATCTTGAAAAGCTGGAGCTTCACCAGAATGCACTCACGAGCTTTCCACAACAGCTATGTGAAGTAAATTTAATTTATCCTTGTAACTTTCAAGACATTTGAAGAGCTTTTGTATTTATATCTAATTTGCATAATTAAGTCGTTTAAAAGAACATTCTACTTTTGTGTCACTGGGTGATAAGTCCCCCGTGCCTCTGGTTTTTGCACACATATCTTAGTCTGTGTGATGTTCAGGAGCATCTTTGAGGGCAGGCAATGGAAACAGATCTGATTAGAAAGGAATTCCAGGTTCTGTACGGAGTACATGTTAAAGTCTGTCAAGTGTATATTGATTATACTTTAATCATTTAATTCAAGTAAGACAACTTCAACAATTTAAATTAGATTAGGTAAACTAGAATTAGACCTGGTTTGGTAGTACTGGCTCTGACTCAGCTACCAACTGTGTGACAATATGAACATGTCACTCCGCCTGCTCTAATCCTTCATTTTCTCATCTGTGAAATAGAGATTCAACTAAATGATTACTGAAAGTTTTTTTTTCAGTTTAAAATAATGTGTAACTTAAAGATTTTTTTCTTTTTGGTCAAAGTTCCTGTCTTGTAAGAATTAAAGTATAACATAGTTTGTTGATAGGATAGCTCTCTGAAAATTGACTTTGCTCACCATTTGTATGTACTACAGATCAAAATAGTTTTGAAAGCCAAAGAAGATATCATAAAAGTTAAAATTATTTTAATGCAAATGTTTAAATTGTTAAATTCTCAAGGCTGGGCATGGTGACTCATGCCTATAATCCCAGCACTTTGGGAGGCTGAGGCGGGTGGATCTTTTTGAGTTCAGGAGTTCAAGACCAGCTTAAGCATCAGCAAAATCCTGTCTCTACCAAAAATATGAAAAATTAGCCAGGTGTGGTGGGGTGCACCTGTGGTCCCAGCTACTTGGGATGCTGAGGTGGGAGGATTGCCTGATCCTGGGAGGCAGAGGTTGCAGTGAGCCAAGATCGCACCACTGTACTCTAGCCTGGGCAACAGAGTGAGACCCTGTCTCAAAAAAAAAAAAGTCTTGTTGCAAATGCATTTCCCCCTTTTTAAGCCTAAAAAATTAATCATAATTTTGAGATGTTTTAAAGGCAACATTACATAAATTTTAAGTATATTTAAGGGATGTTTTTTCTCTAAAGTTTTTATATCTGGAGACAGAGAGAAGAAAGAAAGGTGACCCACTCCTCCAGCCATGCCCTAATGTCTAAAATGTGTCTTTCTCTCTTCTCCACTTCTTTGCCTTGCTAAATACTTCAAGCCACCCAGGGCTCAATTTAACTGTCACTTCATCACTCTCTGCTTCTCTTCCTTTTTCCTTCTACCCTCCAGCCAACCTACCCACCTAGCCTCCATGTCCATAACACCTGATGCTTTCCACCTAATTCTCATTCGGTCATCCAATTTGATTTAAAATACCTTTGCCCCCACTAGACTGTGAACTCTTTGAGGACAGGACTTGTTTCAGGCTTGTTTCTGTCTATTCCCAGTGCCTAGTGAGATCTGACATATGGTAGAAGTTTAGTACTTACTGAATTGATTTGTGGAGGAATAAATGTCTGAAACTTGGTAATCCTTCAATTAATATTTGTTAAATGAGCAAGCAAAATAATTTTGGGATTTAGTCTAGTTAAAACAAAGAGAATTGGAAGAGACTGTGACAAGGTGAGACATGCCGGCATTCAATGACTGGACAAGCTCAGAACCTTCTCTTAGGGAAATTTCAAAATGACACCATTAGATGGCACTTTGTTTGTTTGTTTGTTATTGTCAAAGGGTCTCATCTATGTTCCTTTTATAGGAACATTTCCTGATTAAACCTTGGGAATAATTTTAAAATCTTTACTTCAGAATAAGTTAATGAGGGTCTGAAACAAAAGCAGGAATTTTGAAACAACTTCTGGGGCTAAGAGTGGTTAATAAGCCTCTATAATGATATCAAACTCTAGAGTTTCTCGTGTGGATAAATATATTGATAAATAAAGAAGACCATAGAGAAGTGATTGATTTTGGTATTTTAGCTCTTTGAGAGTATTACGTACCTAAGTTTTAAAAAATTGACATAATGTGTAAGTAGGGGTTTGCTATTATCATTATAAAATTAGAAATTGCTTAAAAATAGAAAGTAGAAATTTGAAACAAAAAGTTTCGTAAAAAACAGGAGGTTCTAAAATGAAACACATTATAAGTAACTATTTTTATAGTTAAATCTTAAATATATCAAAATATGTAAAATTTCTGACAGCATTTAAAACATATTCCCAGGATTATATTGTACTTTTTGTTAAATCATTAATTCAAATATTTGTTGAGGCGTATTCTGCTTCCATTTTGCTCTTTCTGGAAATAATTTACAAAAAAGCTGAAGGAAGCTTTCAACTCTATTTTTGTGAACCTGCTTTTTACAATCTACCTGTTGTAATTTTCCTGGTTTTACCCATGCTACAAGCAGAGACGATTGGGCCAATTAGTATACTGAAATTCTGTTGTGGATTGTGTTTTCAACTTTTTGAAAATTCTTGATGGTTCTAGTTACCAGAGGTGTGTAAGGCAGAAATATTAGCTAGACTTAAGTTCCTCAGATGGTTCACTTTAGAATTTTAAACTATTGTCTTTTCAGACTCTGAAGAGTTTGACACATTTGGACTTGCACAGTAATAAATTTACATCATTTCCTTCTTATTTGTTGAAAATGAGTTGTATTGCTAATCTTGATGTCTCTCGAAATGACATTGGACCCTCAGTGGTTTTAGATCCTACAGTGAAATGTCCAACTCTGAAACAGTTTAACCTGTCATATAACCAGCTGTCTTTTGTACCTGAGAACCTCACTGATGTGGTAGAGAAACTGGAGCAGCTCATTTTAGAAGGGTAAGAAAGAGCTCATTAAAAATAAAAGGGTTGCCTAAATATGCTGATGTTAACAAAATATGCTGACATTTTTATAGCAATGAGTTTTAACAACATGGTGAAACTCCATCTCTACTAAAAATACAAAAATTAGCCCAGCGTGGTGGTGCGCACCTTATAATCCCAGCTACTCAGAGGCTGAGGCATGAGAATCGCTTGAACCCAGGAGGCGGAGGTCGCAGTGAGCCGAGATCGTGCCATTGCACTCCAGCCTGGGTGACAGAGGCGAGACTCTGTCTCAAAGAAATATATATATATATATATATAATATATGTATTATAATATATAATACATATATTATATATATTTATTATATATAATACCTATATATTATATATATACTATATATAATACTTATTATATATATACTATATATAATACTTATTATATATATAATAAAAGACCGAGGCAATGAATATTACAACTTTTATCAACTGACTTACATTTTTACAACTAATTTTTAAATTAATGAGTCCTCTTTGATGCTGTTCTTTGAAAGCAAATTGTTTTTGATATTTTTTCTTTAAAGCATATGAATTTATGCAATTTAATCATTATCTTGTCTCTTGTGACTAGAAATAAAATATCAGGGATATGCTCCCCCTTGAGACTGAAGGAACTGAAGATTTTAAACCTTAGTAAGAACCACATTTCATCCCTATCAGAGAACTTTCTTGAGGCTTGTCCTAAAGTGGAGAGTTTCAGTGCCAGAATGAATTTTCTTGGTAAGTGTTCTGTGTGGGTCTCCTCCTTACCAGGCCCTCTAAGTTGTACAAGATGAGTCATATATGGACCCTTTAGTTGTGGATTTAAAAGTGGCATTTCAGTTTAAATATTATGCTGGATTTAAAAAATAAAATTAGCAGGTTGGCAATAAAACAAAATGCTATAAAACTATGAAAAGACATGAAAGAAACATAAATGCATATTGGTAAGTGAAAGAAGCCAATCTGAAAAGGCTACATACTATTCGTTCCCAACTATAAGACATTCTGGAAGAGACAAAATTATGAGGACATTAAAAAGATCAATGGTTGTCAGGGGTTAGGGGAGGGAGAGATGAATAGATAAAGGACAGAGGATTTTTAGGGCAGTGAAACTGTTTTGTATACTATAGAGGGGGATATGTGCCATGGTACACTTGTCAAAACCCATAGAATGTGCAGTATAAAGAATGAACCCTGATGTAAACTATGGACTTTGAGTGATAATGGTGTGTCAAATATTGGCTCATTGATTGGAACAACTGTGCCAAACTAATGCAAATTGTTAATAATAGGGGAAAATGTGTGTGGGGTGGTGGTGGTGGTGAGGGAAGAAGGGATTTATTGAAAGTCTCTGGACTGTGTGCTCAATTTTCCTGTGTATCTAAAGCTGCCCTAAAAATAGTCTATAATTTAAAAAAATTATCACATTTTTATTGTCAGAGGTTAAAATGATAGTTACTTGGCCTACTGTGTAGTACCCTGTGGTTCCCTTTAGTCTTAAACTAAACATGCACATGGCTGCCTGAGCTGGGTAAGGCATCCTGATACTGAGATATTGTTTTTCATACTGAAGTTTCTTCAGCAACTTTTTGTATGATAAATATGATTACTCTTTGCTGTTGTTAGAAATAAAATTAATCATTTAATGGTTTTCAAATTAGTGAAGTTAATGTATATTCATTCAGCTCTTGTGCTTTGCAAGACATTATAATAATGCAAATTATTATCATCACTTTTATTAAAAGTTGTAGAATCCCCTGCCTTCTCTTAGCATATGAAATAATAGAGGAAATTATGTTCATTTGTATCCTAAATGAACATTTTAATTTTAAGGAACAAAATACTTTTATGACAATAAACAGGAATTCCCCATATTTTATCTTCCTTCATAGAGAATACTCACATCTTGCCACCCATGTGTTTATTCTATACCTGACTCAGTAAAATAATTTTTAATTCTATTTAATAGCAGAATATGGCTTAACTACTTATTAATAGTATTTTAATTTGTCAGAGCTTTCAGAAACTAATAATGATCAAAGCCATCTTAATTTGGATAGTATTTTCCTCCTTTTCCGCGCCCTCCCTTCCTCCTACCCTCCTGAATATTGGCCACTTTCCAACCATGATCTTGAAACTGGGGATAGAGTTGTTGACTCACTCACTAGTAAGCAAAGCAAACTCGGTCTCTGTCCTTAAGGAACTTGTGATTAAGTTCAGAGCACAGACAAACATTAAGTAATGATGGCATAAATAAATGTAATTTTATATTGTGGTGCCTTCTGTGGAAAAGTTTCAGGATGCTCTGTGGTACCTCAGGGGAATCTGATTCAGACTGTGGAGTCAGGAAAGCATTTCTGTGCCTGTGACATTTAAGTTGGGTCTGGAAAGAGGAGCATCCAAAAGGACCTTGAAGCTTGTGTATGGTCAGTGTGTCATCTCAGCTGAATCTCACAATGATCCTAATGGTCATACCTAGGACAGGTATGACCTCTGCCCAATTGAGGAAATTGAAGCCGTGAGATTTTTTGTGTGATGCTTACAGGTGCATACAATTAATTATCTTGTTGTGAAAGTTTGAATGGACCCCAGTTCAAAATCTGTTTGCTTTGCACTACACAATCTTAATAGTTTGAGAAGTGGTCTTACATTTGAGAAGATGCCCCATGGAGGTGACATCTGAGCAGGACCACTAACCATTAAAAAATAATCCCATGTAAATGGTGAAACCCTGTCTCTACTAAAAATACAAAAATTAGCTGGGTGTGGTGGCGTGTGACTATAATCCCAGCTACTCGGGAGGCTGAGGCAGAAGAATCGCTTGAACCAGGGAGTCAGAGGTTGCAGTGAGTGGAGATCAGGCCACAGCACTCCAGCCTGGCGACAGAGCAAGACTCCGTCAATCAATCAATCAAACAATCAATAAATCCCATGTAAAATAAAGTTTTAGTTCTGTGGCCTTATGAGTGTTTTCCATACAGCATATGAAACTCAAGACTCTGAAGTCTTAAGTGGAGAATCATTTCGATTCATTTATTTTGCGAATAGGTGAGGTATAATAGCTATCTTTCTGCTTCTCAGGAAGACAGCTTCTAGGAGTGTCCTGGAACATTTTGACCCTTGAAGATTGTCTAGATAAAGAATAACCCATATTTTTAACCTTGAAAATGCTAATAACTAATTCCTCAATCCGTTTTCCTAGAAACGGTAGATTTGTAGATCTCTCAAGTGTCTTAGTGTTCATCTGATCTAGCTACACTCTTTTACAGATAAGAAAAGAGACTGTGTGATTTTCTGTTTCCCAAATTGTGTTTCACAGAATTTTATTTCTTGGAGGTACCTCATACTGCATTTCCTTCTTAACAATTCATAAAGTAGGCCAGGCACGGTGGCTCATGCCTGTAATCCCAGCACTTTGGGAGGCCGGGGCGGGCAGATCACAAGGTCAGGAGATGGAGACCATCCTGGCTAACATGGTGAAACCCCATCTCTACTAAAAATACAGAAAATTAGCTGGACATGATGGCACCTGCCTGTAATCCCAGCTACTCAGGAGGCTGAGGCAGGAGAATCTCTTGAACCTGGGAGGCGGAGATTGCATTGAGCTGAGATCACGCTACTGCACTCCAGCCTGGGCAACAGAGCGAGACTCTGTCTCAAATAACAATAATAATAATAAAATAATAAAAAATAAAAAAATCATAAAATATACCAGAGTATTGAGAACTCAGATATTTTACTTTATTTTACTGAATGTTTCCCAATCTCTTAAGATTATATGATCGAAGAATACTTTTATTAAATAACACCCATTATTATTCCATAGAACACTCTTTATGAGCTAGTACCATAAAGAATTTTTGTCCTTATAATATACTGTATTTTAGTAAAGTGTTCATAGTTGTTTTGCTATAGTTATTTAAGAGTAATTCTAGTTAATCTATATGGTATATAATAACATCACACATAATTTGAAATGAATATTCTAGGAATTTTTACTTTGTACAAATGTTGGGTAGACAAATTTATATTTAAATAGCTGTTTAGCTTCCAGGTTAAAAGGTTCTGGTAAGTATAGCATATTATTTTATTGTTTAGTGGAAGTATTAAGGCTATTACCTTATTTTTAAAAGTGGATTTTTAAAAATTGTCAGTGTGAGAATGGAAATCAAATTAAGTGACACACTATTGGTAGCTGTTCTTATTTTTGAATTTAATGGAAATCTGGTTAAAATGATTAAAATGTTTATCTCATTTTTTTTCTTTTAGCTGCTATGCCTTTCTTGCCTCCTTCTATGACAATCCTAAAATTATCTCAGAACAAATTTTCCTGTATTCCAGAAGCAATTTTAAATCTTCCACAGTAAGTTTATTGTTATTTTAATTTTAAAAGCACATTAGCTGGAACAGAACCTTTAGAAACATGATTTCGATTTAGTCATATAGAGGTAATTGATTTCTAAACCTACTCAACTTGATGTTTTTGTATGTATGAATGATTTTCACTAGATAAAAGACCCAACTCATTACTTAAAATGGAAACTTTTATATTTATTTAGTGGATCATTGTGTAAAAACAACTTAAGATTGTTTAATTAATTGCTGTATTAGTATAATGAAATGAGATTATACTGGCTATCACTTTAACTTTTAAAATTTTAATTGTTTGTGGAACTTGATATGTTGCCAAAATACCCTTAACTTTCACATTATGCTTAAGTTATGTTTGAGTGAAATTTTGGGGGAAGATTAGGCAAGTTTATGTAGTTCCAGGTTTTTGAGATATTTTGGTTAATTCATGAAACCAGAAGCTTCCTGTTAACTTTAAATTCAGGCATTAATTGGATCTTGAGTGTGTTGTAATCTTAAATGCTATTCTAATTATATCATACATGATAAACCAAATTCATAAAAATATATGTGTAAATTTATCTTTTCCTTTGTTTTCTTGCTGTCAGCTATTCCTTCAAACACTATGGCTTTTTAGAATTGACACTAAAATGCTGCTTGCATGATGCTGCAATGAGCTCTTCTGTGAGCTTATATTTAGGCAAATAATAATTAGAATTTAGCCATAGAGAGTGTTACACAAACCTATAATAGCTAAATTACGTCTAGCTTTAGAATGTGTTTAACTGTTCTAACTACTCTACAGCGGTTCATCTCTTTAATCTTCCTAATAATGCCCTACGATAGCCACTGTTATTATCTCCACTTCATAAGAGATGAAGTAACTTGCCCAGAGTCATAGTTCTTAAACACTGGTGGTTCAACTTCAGGCTCTCAAATCACATGCATACTCATATGTCAATAATGCTAGTTTTGACGTTACACTTTATTCTCACCCTGGGGAAAATTATTTGTGATGTTATTTCATGTATTTTGGAAATACTCATTTGGTTTATGTCTTTTCTGTGTATTGTTTTAGCTTGCGGTCTTTAGATATGAGCAGCAATGATATTCAGTACCTACCAGGTCCCGCACACTGGAAATCTTTGAACTTAAGGGAACTCTTATTTAGCCATAATCAGATCAGCATCTTGGACTTGAGTGAAAAAGCATATTTATGGTCTAGAGTAGAGAAACTGCATCTTTCTCACAATAAACTGAAAGAGGTAAGACGATTATTGCCACTTAAAAAATATACTTTATGATTTGCATCATTACAAATTATCATTTTAAGTGATATTTAGCTTCTAAATACCAATTTCATGAAACTAGAAGCTTCCTGTTAACTATAAATTCCTGTCAACTATAAATCCAGATTTCCATTAAATTTAAAAATAAGAACAGCTACTAATGATGTGTCACTTAATTTAATTTCCATTCTCACACCGACAATTTAAAAAAATCTACTTTTAAAAATAAGGTAGTAGCCTTAATACTTCCACTAAACAATAAAACAATATGCTATACTTATCAGAACCTTTTAATCTGAAAGCTAAACAGCTAGATATAAATTTGTCTACCCAACATTTGTACAAAGTAAAAATTATTAGAATATTCATTTCAAATTATGTGTGATGTTATCATATAACATATTATAGATTAACTCAAATTATTCTTAACTGTTACTTAACTATGACAAAACAACTTAGAACGCTTTGCTAATACACAAGATAGTATAAGGATAAAAATTCTTTATAGTACTAGCTCATAAAGAGTGTTCTATGGAATAGTAGTGGATGTCATTTAATAACTATAAATTCAAAATAAGCATTGTAAATATCAATACCATTCAATTTTTTTTTGTTTTTTAAACAAGTTGTAAGCCTACCCTATGGTAAATGGATATGGTAACACAGCATAATTTCCTCAAAAAATTACTTTTGTGATATACTTTTAAAGGATTATATGAATATATACATAATTATAGATGAATGTGATGCTGTGTGTCATTGTATCACCAAATCTCTGTCCAATCTGTTAACAGACTCTTAAATAAACCATTTTTCTCAAGTTGTTACTGGCCTGTATACTGTATTACTTGTTTTTCAGCTTTCCTTGGTACATTCTTAAATTTCTGCATTCCGCCACCATGCTATCACCCTAATGGATCAACCTTTTTTGTTTTGCTCCATTCTCTCTGTTGTAAATCTGAAATTGATAATTTGTTTGTCTCAGAAAATATTATTTTTCAAGTTCTAGCGTATTGCCTACAAAAACCAAAAGAATTAAGTGTCTGACACTGTGAGGTTCAGCAAAACTGTGCATATATTTTGCTACCTGATTTTTTGCCAGCAAATGAGTGTTTTCTATTATAAATATAGTATATATTGCTTAAAAATTTGGAACAGAAAAGAAATTACTCCAATTAGGATGCCACCTAAAGTATAAGCATGTAGCTGTACTTTGAGAACACTAAATTGCATGCAGGTTTGTAGTGACTAGGTCTTCTTGCCTTTACTGAAGGAGCAGAATGAAGTCACAGATAATGGATAACCAAATCCATTTTGTGGTAAGAACTTCCTTACTTTCAATGTCTTGAAGAGATGAAGTATGTTACCAAAGGAGATTGGGTTTTTTAATATTACAGATGAGTGACATAGATTGTTTGGGAGTAAGTTTTTATATGTAAGTTTTTATGTTTTTAAACACATACTGACAACTTATGACAAACCTTTGGAAAGTTTTAAAACTCTGTTGAAAGGTTGTGCAAGCTGCTGATGGAATCTGTGAGCCTTTCTTGTTTCTTATCACGTTTTTTGGCAGAGCACATTTCTTCCTTCCCACCAACAGGTTTTGCCCTTTTTTTTCCCATTAAGATTCCTCCTGAGATTGGCTGTCTTGAAAATCTGACATCTCTGGATGTCAGTTACAACTTGGAACTAAGATCCTTTCCCAATGAAATGGGGAAATTAAGCAAAATATGGGATCTTCCTTTGGATGAACTGCATCTTAACTTTGATTTTAAACATATAGGATGTAAAGCCAAAGACATCATAAGGTTAGATAATTTTTTTCTATTTGGTTTTACTAAATTTATTTCAGATTTTCTACTCTCTGTGACTTTGATGGACATATATTGTTACTATTTAGGGAAAAATAAATAGTAATATTTGGCATTAATATGCTGTGTGTCATTTGCCTTTCATTTAATGAATGTGTTTCTGTGGTGCCACTGTAGAGATTTCTCATTCTTCTTAGCCAGACTAATGTTGAGAGCGGCTTCTCCTCCTTCTGTTTCTTTTCAGTGGAGTAGACTCTAAAAGAAAATAAGTATTGCTATTTGGTCTCTGGTTACCAATTACACAATCTAAAGAAATACAGCACAGTATAATAACTTCTCACACTGTATTTCATATAGCAACTAGTTAACATATGCCTCTTACATCTTAAAGCATTATAGCTACTGACATCATGTGAAATTACTAACTTCTATTTTGCCCATTAGGATGAGTAATCTACTCACCTTGATCAGTTTTGAAAGCACCAAAACTTCTCAAGTATCACTGTTTCTGGTCTTTACACTTTAAGCACTTTAAATATCTTTGGTAATGGATTTTATCCTCCTTTTTGTTCCCTTTCAGCACATCGGTCTTATTACTTTCTCATAAAATCCTTTGCTCCCTTTTCCACAGTTACTGTATTAACGTTGCAGACCTCAGCTCTGTCATCACCTCTCAACTTGACTGTAATATCCACCAAGGCAGAGACCATGGCTGTGTTCACTCACTATTCAAATCTTGGCACCCAACACAGTGCCTGGCATACAATTAATAGTTGTTTAATTACCAGTGATTTATACTTACTCATTCTCTTCTGCCTAAAATCTCTTAAATTTATATTTAACTTCATCTGTTTTTATGAGGAAGGATTTTGTTTTCTGAACTCCTGAGCTTGATTTCATTTTAAAGGAGTTTGTTATCTTTTGTGCTAATTGTGGCTACCCTTCATCCTACCCAATTATTTTTCTCTCTTGAAACTGGAAAAGATGGTCATATAAAAATTGGTTCAGTTCTTACTAAACATTTAGTAGAACTAGCTTTCAGTGTATTATACTGTATTATCTAACTAAATATTTTTAATATTTAATATTTAATTTAATATATAACTAAATATTTTTAAACATGTTTAACATTTTCAGAAAAGACAGAAAGACCTAGAGCAGATTAGAAATTGTAGGCATCATTTGCTTTTTGAAGAAAGACATTTTTTCAAATAGTGGTGCATTCTTAAGAAATAAATCAAGAAAGGTAATGTTGCTTTTTGGTCATATCATCAGGAATGTTGGTCAGATTCTTATTAGTTACAGGAATGAATTGATCACTACTCTGATGTAAAATTCACTTATGATTTAGTCTTTTTCTCTAATTTGAAACTGTGGCAACATTTTAACATATTTCAAAATATATCTTTCTCTATCCATTATATTTTTGATAACACTTTGACTCTACTATTAGTTTAAAGGTGGTTTTTTAGCTACCTAAACACTTCTATTTCATTCAGGTTTTACATTAAGATCATTAGGAATGAAAGCTAACATCTGCTGATAGTATAATAGTTTATATTTATTTATGATGTTATGTGATCTCACTATCCATATATACTATTATATGCATATGTGATATACATGAATATATAGCTATACATCATATATACCATATATGAATATATACACACACATATATAATGTAACTAATATGACCCTATTATCAAGCTTTAACAGTATACATATATCTCTACCTTGTTTCTATGTCATATGGACTTTGTGAAATTTTGAACTTTATAATTTATAGGGTTTTTCTTTTCTTTTCTTTTCTTTTTTTTTTTTTTTTTGAGACTGAGTTTCACTCTTGTCACCCAGGCTGGAGTGCAGTGGCCTGATCTTGGCTCACTGCAACCTCTGCCTCTTGGCTTCAGGCGATTCTCCTGCCTCAACCTCCCAAGTAGCTGGAATTACAGGCACCTGCCACTGTTCCCGGCTACTTTTTGGATTTTTAATAGAGACGGGGTTTCACTATATTGGCCAGGCTGGTCTCAAACTCCTGACCTCATGATCCGCCCACCTCGGCCTCCCAAAATGCAGGGATTACAGGTGCGAGCCACCGCACCTGGCGTATAATTTGTAGGGTTTTTCATACTATTTAAAGACATTAGAATATGTATACATGTATGTATATGTGTGTATATATAGAGGTATATATATATTGCATATCGTATTCTAATTAGTATTGCAAACATATTTTGGCCTTTTGATTATTTCTGGTGATAGTGTAACATGTTTTCTTTGGTGATTTTACCAAACATTATCAACTACCCTAAAATCTCTAGCAAAATATATGCATTAACAGTACTCTGAAAGACATGTACATTATTAGTTATATGAGATATGCACTCTTCTGGATACTATATTTTAGAATAGTGTGACATGTAAAAGAACTCACCTAAATCTCAAGTATACTTTTAAGCAGTTTATTATTTTATTTTTATCTTTCAAATACTAGGTTTCTTCAACAGCGATTAAAAAAGGCTGTGCCTTATAACCGAATGAAACTTATGATTGTGGGAAATACTGGGAGTGGTAAAACCACCTTATTGCAGCAATTAATGAAAACCAAGAAATCAGATCTTGGAATGCAAAGTGCCACAGTTGGCATAGATGTGAAAGACTGGCCTATCCAAATAAGAGACAAAAGAAAGAGAGATCTCGTCCTAAATGTGTGGGATTTTGCAGGTATTTCTTTCTATAGAATTTTAAAATTCACTTTTACCATTTGTTTGGAACAGGGATTCAAAAACTGAGCTTTCTGTTCTAATATCCAGAAACCTGGTAGACTGTATGGAATTATTCCAAAGCCCTTCATTTCTCCTAATTTTACCCTTGCCTCCAGAATGGAGAAGAACATGGAGGGATATGTTAGGAACAATTTGGTGCTAGGTACTTTGATCGGTTGCTGACAAATATGCTAAAAGTGGTCAATCCTAGTAAAAACCCAGAATAGTTCTCTAAACATGGTCTGTTGTTTTTCTCTTATTAGTATGCTAAATAATAAATAGTATTATTCTCCCAGATTTTTTTTTAAAAAAGGATTCTTGCCTGTCGTTTGAAAGATTAAAAAAATTTGTCTCTAATCTTTATTTAGGTCGTGAGGAATTCTATAGTACTCATCCCCATTTTATGACGCAGCGAGCATTGTACCTTGCTGTCTATGACCTCAGCAAGGGACAGGCTGAAGTTGATGCCATGAAGCCTTGGCTCTTCAATATAAAGGTGATTTGTTCTGATCATTTGAAAATAGAAAATAATTCATGTGTCTGTGTGCGTGTGTGTGTGTGTGTGTAAGTTAATTTATTTTGGGCAAACAATTGCTTCAGTCTCTTTAAATACTTTCTTAAAAGAAGCACTAAAATTTTGAATTGGGAAACTTTCCGAGTAATGAAGTCATAACATGAAAATTGTATGTTCCATGTTGGTGAATGTTATTGGTAACCTGAAACTCTTTTATGCTGTAAAACTTGAAAATATATATGTTCAACTGTTTTTTAATTATATTATTTCTTAAATGAAATCTAAATTTTTCTAATTTAAAATAAGCTATATTAAAGAAAAGCAATCTATATATATATATCTCATCAACTTTGTACTCAGGGGCCATTTAGTGTGAAATTCTTCAGATTGTATCCTTTAAGTGGTCCCAGATTATTATGCTGTTACATCTGGAATCTCCCTTTTGTTGCTTTTCTATCTTTTCCTTTGTTGTCTTGTTGTCAGCTATTCCTTCAAACACTATGGCTTTTTAGAATGGAGACTAAACTGCTGCTTGCATGATGCTGCAATGAACTCTTCTGTGCATAAAGTCCTTAAAAAGCTTGTGTCAGGACATTTAACCATGTAATTGGCTGCATACATGCTTGTTTTGTAATTTGGGTATTTTTTAATGTTTCTTTTATTAACTTTTTTACAGCTAGCCAACGTGAGCAAATAGTACAGTGGCAGTCATATTTGCTTGAGTGGCTTTTATTCTTTCATTGTAGACTCCAAATTGGTTGACTTTAAAACGAATTTAGAAGATTAAATTCACAGATAAGGAAGAGAAAATATAAACTATATGACGTTAATTTGATATAATTTGTGGGTTTATGAAATGCTTATTTTATTTAGGAGTGAATAACTCATCTTAAGGCATGAAGATGGGAAAGGAAAACTATACCACTACCGTTATATATGCCACCTAAAAGGGTGAAGAATTGGGTTAAGAAAGGCCAAAAATGACTTTTTAAAATGTCGTAAGGTTACATTTTTTTCTTAGGTTTAAGGAAAAAAGGACAGTTGTTCTTTTCTTCTTCTGAAGTCTGCTAGTTTCTCTTTTCCATTCAAGTGAATGTCACGGAAAGCAAATATCAACAGGAATGTGAGCAGGCCCAGTTTGAAAGCAAACACAAGAGGGTTTTGTGTCTTTCCCTCCAGGCTCGCGCTTCTTCTTCCCCTGTGATTCTCGTTGGCACACATTTGGATGTTTCTGATGAGAAGCAACGCAAAGCCTGCATGAGTAAAATCACCAAGGAACTCCTGAATAAGCGAGGGTTCCCTGCCATACGAGATTACCACTTTGTGAATGCCACCGAGGAATCTGATGCTTTGGCAAAACTTCGGAAAACCATCATAAACGAGAGCCTTAATTTCAAGGTAACATGGTAGGCTGGTAGAGAAATGTAATTTATTGATTCTCAACTGCCTAGAAATGTCAGAAATTTTGAGAAGTGAGCAACTCACTTAAAATTGTGGGTTTTCTTTCCTTGTTGCTGTTAGCATTATTAAAGTCCTTTCCATTTTAAAATTATTTATGCCAGACTTCATTTCTAATTCATAGAAATGGGAACAAAAAATAATTAGAGGAACCTGAGAGAAACTAAGAGACCGTTTCTGGGATACTGAGAAAATGTTTCTGAGAGAGAATCTGAGAAAATGTTTTTGATGCCTTTTCTGATTCAACTTCTTATAGTGGTGATTCAATCACAAGGGTAAAGGTGAATACTGAGGTCTTGGGATCATCTTTCTTCTATTATTCTTTAACTGTTATTTTTCCATTTCCTCTTTTCTTTTGGAATTCCTGTTTTATGGACATCTTGATCTTTTGTGCCACTCATTCATGAATTTTGTCACTGTGATTCCCATTCCAATTTTTTTCCCTCCGTATTGTGAGGCAGCTGTTTTATTTAGTCATGAAGACCACTAACTTGGTTTTCAGCAGTGTCTCACTAATTACTTAGTTCATACAAAATGGGCTTTTTATTTTAGGAATTATGTTTTAAATGTTTAAAGTTATCTTCTCGTAAGCCAAATTTTTATAAAATGTAAATAAATCAGTTATCAGAGAGAACACTTTTTTTTTTAAATACTTGGCAGAAAAAAGAAATCTTCACTGGGTACTACAGGGAGTGTGGTGTAAACTGTACTGAAAAATACCCTTGATAGTTCCATATGACAAACATAATGATGAATTTCACTTAGTCTGTCTTGGCTTAGCTCAATAGCACTAATGATCAAGATACTGGCTGATAAATAGAGTCCTATTTGGCCTGGGCAGTCCCAGCATAATTATGTAATAGTGTCCCACTATATTCTCAAAAGCATTCCAATTTGGATGATAAATTATATAGTCACCTTGGTTATAACTCCATGCTGGCCAGTTAGCTTAGTTCTGTTCCATTTATATAGATTATGTGTGCTTCACTCCAAAACCTAATGAGCCATTTGTAAAAGTGATGGCTTTTGCGGTGCCCAGGGAGAGAATTTGTATGTTTGTATCCTTCAACACACATTTATTACAGTTATTAAAAGGTTTTATTGATGATAGATGGTAATGTCATGTAAAAATGACATATTATTTATTTGTAGACTTTCCTATTCTCTTGTTGGACATGTAATTAGAAACTAATATGACTTAAAGAAAAACAAATACACAAAATTTATTCATCCAATTAATCTCTTAATCCAGGTGTTTTTTTTTTCTGAGACTATACCCATACTTCAATAACTTTGTTGTTACTGAGAATATTTTGAGTTTCCCTTTTTGTCATTGTTGTCAGAGAATGTATCATATCTTTAAAAAGACTTGTTGGAGGATGAGTTTGTTTTGAAAAGGCCTGAATTTAGTTGATGCAAAGTCACAGATAAGATGGTTCATTAAGCTGTATTAATACTGCTTTTGTCTAATAGATATCATTACCAATAAGTCAGACTAGTTTTTCTTTTGGCACTTATAAATCACCTTTGAAGACAACTTTTTACAAGGAAATAAAACAAATGCTTTGAGAAATACCAGTATTATTGAAAGAAAAGTATATATTGCTAATGGATGCAGCATTCTGGCATAATGGTTTGAAAACTCATTTGATTGCTTTGTAGAAGAATGACTCTTTCAGATGACCCAGGGCCTGTGAGCCTGCCAGAACTTGAAAATTCTTTCTTCCCTGAGGTGCTTCAACCTGAATTCAAAGAGCAGCTTTTAATCTATTAGAGATCATTTTTTGTCCTCTCATTTATTTTTCATATTTGCCTTTGATCTTAGCTCTTCTCTAATCTTTTTCTGTCTCAACCTTATTAACAGGTGTCTGTGCAGACACTTTTAAGTTTTGTTTTTTGGCTCAGCCTGTCAGTTAACTGATAATCATGCTGAAAGGAGAAGCAGGACAAAACAGAGTTCAATGCTGACAATACTCCTTTTAATCTTGTCCAGCCCATTAGCAGAGCAGGCATCTCTGTGGGCCTTGAGACGTAGTCCCGTAAAACTCATCCCGTTTCTACTTGATTTGCTTTCTTTGAGAACTCTTGTTTATTTTTATATGGAGGTTTCCTGCCTTGGATTAAAACATAAACCTCAATCTGAAGTTCAATTTCATCTTAATTTATGAACGACTAAGAGAGGGAACATGAAAAGTGGAGGTTAGTGAAATTATCTCTAATTCTCTGGGTTAAGAGATACATGAAAACAGTCTCTTGAGTAACCATTTGCAGGTAAATATGGAAGTAATGGTTATGGTTGTCTCTTTAAGTTTTTAGTCACAAGTAGAAAAAGACCAAGTTAATTTTTTTCTGTGTGTGCTGAATTTCTATTTGTAGTAAGTGTAAGAATTTAAGCAGAAATTCTGATTCGTATTTTCAGATAAAAAGAATATGTAATTTCCATAGGTCCAGAAATAGGGAGAGTTTGCCATCTGGTGGTTCTTAACGGCACTCTGGATATTATTAAGAGTTGCATTTCTATTTAAAATTATATTTTAAAAAACGTTTGGAAGATACTTTTATTGTAGAAACTATCCTCTTAGGGCCATTCTTTAAAAAAATCTTATTTTATATATTTCTCATTTTGTTGATAGTGATTAGATTCTAAGAGCAACAGAACAATGATCATCCTCTCCTATCAGAATCACTGATGTTTAGATGATTTCTCATTTTCCCAAGTTCAAGGTTCCATGAAAAACATAGCTTGAGTGGGATTTTATGTCTCTGCGTTTCACTGTTGATATATATGTCCTCCCAATATAACATTTTACAAATAACCAAGCACAAAATTTAATATTTTACCTTGAATATTTAAAATATAATAATATCCAAAAGCTCTTGTAATTTGTACTGATATCTTATACTAGCGTGTCTGTTTCACATTAAGTTTAATGTCTTAGGATATAAAAAATCTTTTTTATGGTTAGTGATTTATCTTGTTTTTTTTTCCATGGAATTTCTGGATAGCGAGATAAATATTTCCATACTATTTTATTTGATATTTCCAAATTTGCCTCTGAATCAACAATTTTCCTATTTTAATTTCATTGTACTTGTTCCTTACAACCTAAATAGCTTTTTATTATATTTTGATTTTATTTAAAAATGTACTTCTGAATAATATATCTGTTTCTGTAAAAACTGTTAGCACTGAATTTGCCAACCATTTGACAAATACACAAATAAAATAGATTTTTACGGCTTGTCATTTGTAATTTCATAGATCCGAGATCAGCTTGTTGTTGGACAGCTGATTCCAGACTGCTATGTAGAACTTGAAAAAATCATTTTATCGGAGCGTAAAAATGTGCCAATTGAATTTCCCGTAATTGACCGGAAACGATTATTACAACTAGTGAGAGAAAATCAGCTGCAGTTAGATGAAAATGAGCTTCCTCACGCAGTTCACTTTCTAAATGAATCAGGTTTGTGTTTTTCGTTCCTTATTTTCAAAGCTCAGCTGTAGTAACTTATAAAAGTGTTTCTGAATCTTTTATAGAATTTACATTCAAAGTTGAGAGAATATCCATACGGTTCTTTAATAGGCCACTGATTTTTTTCTTTTTGGAAGATCATCATGTGTGTTCATGACAAATCATGTATCATGTCATAAGAAAACAAATTTAGAAATCACCTAGGAGTAAAGCAGTGGAAAGAGTCCCTGAGTGGGAGTTAAAATATTTGGGTTCTAGAACTTGTCTTTACTATTCAGGAGCTGTGGAACCCTGAATAGTCAAATGACATTCATAATGTCAAATGAGTTTAGTGCATGTGAAAGTTATTTTTATATTGCAAAGGGGAATTATTGTTGGCATGGTCTAACTGGGACGCTTGGAGAGTCAATGGCTCCCTGAGATGATGCAGCTTCTGAGTGGAAGATCTAGCTCTCTTGCATCAAATATTGATCTCAAAGATGAAAATTCTCAAAGCAACTTCAGTGCTAATTGTGTACTTGATCATATTACCTTGCTAGAAATGTGTGAGTTGTTTGATAGTACTAGAGTAAGTGACTGGGAAGCTGCTTTTGATCCCTAGATTCTGTTGTATAAAAAATAGCTTCCCGTGGTTTATGATCTGTTCCTTTTCCCCATCGTTCTTAAGGTATGCTGAGATATGCTGTGTTTCTTATCTGTATTTGAAAATAAAACATGTCTTTGTAGTGTGTATTCAGCAAGCGAAACAGAAAATTATGAATTTCTACTTATGTGTGAAATATGCTCTGTAATGCATGTCAGTGTCTCAAATATGCTTAAATATGATCATTTTATGTAGTTTAAAAATACTCCATTATAATATTGGAACTTTAGACCATAGGATGCACAGCTTCTAGTCCCAGCTCTGTCACTAGCTATGCTGAAATTTCTTCACCTGCAAAATGAGGAAGTTGGACTAGATTTTTTCTAAAGCCCCTTGATATTTGTTCTAGATTCCATGTTTCACTGTTTGATGACTTTTTACTACAGGAGTCCTTCTTCATTTTCAAGACCCAGCACTGCAGTTAAGTGACTTGTACTTTGTGGAACCCAAGTGGCTTTGTAAAATCATGGCACAGGTTGGTGTCTTTTATTTTTGTGGCACGGGGGTTATGGTCAAAGCATAGAACAGATGGCGCCCAGAGCATTGAGCATTTTAGAATTTGGGTTTAGTTAAGGCAGAAACTTTTGTGAATTTGGAAAACTGTGGAACATTTCACATAGAAGACTACTTGAAGAGCTTCATGGAAGAAGGAAAGATGTCTTGAGTTCACTTCCATGACTTGGTTTTCAAGCCACATACAGATGTTTGTATCACTCTGCCCCATGCTGCTTTACTAGATCCTGATGATGTCATTGGTTTGGTTACTGAATTAGTCAATTGAATGATGGCTTTGTGGAAATCCTTGGGGTAAACACATATAAGAAAATTAGGTTGCTGAGCCTGTGAAACCTCTATCTAGATAACATGGAGGTGAGTTTTGACTTAAGTGAAATGATCTGAGCTTTAAATGCTTACGATTTTGAAAACTTTGGATGGCCTTGGTTATAGCTATTTTTTTCTTATATTTCACATGGAAAATGATTTTTTTCTCCAAATGATAATCCATTACCAATGAGTTTAATTAGTTATAATAATCCATCTCTGTAGCTTTGACATAAAAGACCATTTGAGCAAAACATACTACCTCAGGGCTTTTCAACCCCAGCATGATGACATTTTGGGCCAGATAATTCTTTGTTGCACATTGTAGGATGTTAGCAGCATTTTTGGCCTTTATATTCGAGACGTAAGTAGTATCCTCTAGCTGTGACAAGCAAAAATGTATCCAGACATTGCTAAATATTGCTTGGAGAATGTGAAAAATTACCCTAGTTGAGAAACATTAAGCTACTGATTTGTTGATGAGTAAAATTTATAGTTTTGCATGTGGCTGCCCGAGTTCCTAAAATTATTATATATTTTTATGTTAGAAATATCTCTTCCAATTAAACCATAAAGGTAATTAAATTCACTCAGGCAGCCTTGAATAATTGTTCCTAAATTCCATCTAAGGAAAAAAAGGAAGCTATTGTGAAGAGAGAACTCAGTTGAGGCTAAATCCTGTACCATGGAACTCAAGAGCATATTGAAACATTGCAATCAGCAATTATTTGCAGTGTGTCAGTTATTACTATTTTGGTAGGTATTTTTAAATTAGATTTTCAGCCTTCTGCACATATGTCATGGATAATGTGATTTTACTCAATTATTAAATGATAATGGAGACAGTAGTGTGACCCAGAGCACTTACTTGAGCATCAGCTTGACCTACGTTTCAGTCTCTTTAATTACTTATTAGCTCTGTGAAATTTCTTAATGCATTAAGCCTTTGTTTACTTACTTTTTAAATAAGGAAAATAACAATTATCTTCTATATTGCCTCCCTGGTTCAGTGTAAGTGAGGGGTAAATGTTAGCTAATTTTATATTGGATCTATTTGGCAATTTAAAGAATGTTAATCAGGAAATTTTAAAAAATTCAGAACTATAAAGAGGTACTTACGTAGTTTTGGAAAGTGTGTCATGTATGGGGACAAATAAAAAAGATGTGTAGGTAGCTGCATCCTGTACAGCAAAGGAAGTTTTAAATATATCCAGCAATTTTGTTGTCCTAGCTGGCGCACAATAGTTATCAGGAGGTAACTCAACTCCACATAGTCAAGGAAAAGCTAAAGTTGCTCTCTAAAGTGGTGTGTTTCCATGTCACTATGGAACACTTGAAGTTGCACACATGTGAACATTAGGATGGGTATATCTTATACAGTAGAATAAGGAAGAGGTTTGCATCAGAACTCCCCTTTTAAAAAAATGCAGATTTTCACTATGACTGCAATAAAATTCCTGAAGATTCTGTGGAGTAATTAAGTTGAAACTCCATGAAAGTTCTTCTCATTAGCATAGTTATAAATATGATAATTTAAGTAAAAATTAAGTTAATTTGAGCCACTCAAAGTTACTTTTAAAGACAGATTTAAAATGTCAATAAAATGATAATTTAAATTTCCGATTAACCTAAAAAAGAAGTGCCATCATTTTTATTTATGCCAATAAATTGAAATATAATGTCATTTTATCACTAAGGTTTAAAGGAAATGAAATCTCTAAATAATCAAGTGAAACCAAGAGCAACTTGTCTGACAGCTATTAGCAAAAATAAATAGGAGTATTCACCTTCATGAATCAAGGCAAGGGCCGGAATAATTTCATGGTGCAGAAGCTCTAATGAGCCCACCCACTCTATGCGCCCCGAGCTGTTAGGTCACTAAACTTATTAAAAAAAGGTACCATTAAGGCAGGGAGAAGTTTACAAGACTCATTTAACTGTATGATAAAAGAGATATGAAAGAGACCTATTCAATTAATCAGGTGGAACATTAAAAAGCTTACATGGCAATTTAACCTTGATAAAAATACATGGGAGAAATACAAAGGAATTTGGAAAATTCTCTTTCCTTGAATAAGGCATCAGTTAGCTATTCAGGTTATGAGGTTGAAGGAATGTTAGGAGCTCTTTTAAAGGTGATAAAGTCAAGATAATGTTGCAGATTTTATTCTTATGTAACAAACCCCCTCGAAACTTGGAGGCTTAAAATGTGAACAATTTATCATTTCTCGTTCTTCTGTGGCTTGACTGGGCTCAGCTGCGTGGTTCTGCTCCACATGGTATTGGCAAGGGTTATTCACTTGGCTTCATTCATTAAACTGAGCTGGAAAGTGCAAGAAAGGTACATGCATGTTTTTGGAGTATTGGTGCTTCTCCATGTGGCCTATCATATGGCTAAGTTGGGCTTCCTCGTGGCACGGTGATCACAGAATAATTAGACATCTTTCATGGTGGCTGGTTACCAAGAGAAATGAAGCAGATTTTTTCTGTCCTCTTAAAGGCTAGGCCAAGGACTGGCAAAAATATTAATTCTGCTACATTCTAGTAACCAGAGCAACCACAAACCTAGCTCAGATTAAAGGGGAAGGAAAAGAGACTCTATATGAATAGCACCTATGTATAGGGATGGAAATGATGTGTCCATCTTTGGAAACTTCCACTATAAATAGTGGTAGCACGCTATAGATCCACTAGGAAAATCAAGCACAAACTCTTTAAAAAATAAGTGTATCTTAGTAAAATAGATTAGAATAACTAGATAATAATGGCTAACATACATGAGGTTAATATGTGCTTTTCAAAGATTAGCTCATGTAATTCTCACAGCAACCTTTCCAAATGGTACTTTATTAGCCCCTATGATACAGATGAAGAAATTGATTGACAGAGAGGTTGAATAATTTATCCAACGGTACACATTCAGGAAGAGGTAGAGTTAGAATTTCAAACCAAGTAGTTTGACTCCAGGGCCTATGAGTTTATACATTCATAGGGCTGATATTCAAATGAGAGAAGAGAAGTAATAAATAAACATATAATATGTTGAGTGGTACAGAGTGCTACAAAGAAAATATGAAGTGCAGTTGGAGATGAATTGTCAAAAAAGGTCTTAGCACTTAAAAAACACTAAAACAGCAAACAATTCTCTTTACCACCTAAACTGTAAGAGCGATCTGGAATTGCTATAAAGTACACAACATGGGAGAAGTCTTAAACAACAGTTTTTATTATTTATAGGCCCATTGCACACTGTCATTAAATACCAATATGTTCAATCAACCATGCATTCATTGATTCAATAAATACTGTACATACAAAATAGAAATACAGAAATGGGTAAGACAAGTCCTTGGGCCTAAGGACTTTATAACCTGGTATTTCACTCAACTACATGATAGCATAAATAATGTTTGCTTCTGTTTAAGTATTCCTTAAACATTATAGATCTCCCAAAGAAAATTAAATACAAACCTCTTTTTAAAGTGAATTTGACAAAGCAAAATAAATTGGAATATATAGATAAATATGCTAAAATTTGTCATATGTACTTTGCGTACTTTACATGTGTTATTTCATTCTCAGGGCAATCTAAGACAGTCACTTTTATTATCTCATTTTATAGAGAAGAAAGCTGTGCAGTAAAGAAATCAAATACCTTTCCCAAGGTTACAGAGCTAGTAGTAGAGCCTGGATTTGAATCTGGGTTCTGACTGATTTTTAACTGCCATGACAAGGATCAAAGCTCAAAGTGTGATCTCTGTGTTAGAAACATCGGGGTTGCTCTTTAAAAAAGCCGATTCTCAGGCCTCAACCCAGACCTACTGACCCAGACACTGCAAGTAGAATCCATCAAAATGCAGTAGTTACTTTGAGAATCATGAAACTCTGCTACACAGTCTGTCTTCCTATTCATGGAAGTCCTCTCCTAGTATATAAATGTGAAGTAATATTTCTATTTCAAACCTGTATTGATAACTGTCTGGAAGATAATTTTCCTGGGAATATATTATTGATGAGACTGCAAAACAGATGTGAGGTATTGGATTGATCTTTCCATTGTAGCTAGGGAAATACTGATGTTCATTGTTTCAGTGAAGTTCAATGATTTCCTATCCGAATTAACTCCCTTAATTTAACAATTTTTTTTTTTTTTTTGAGAGTGAATGCCCCTCTGGGCTTCTAGGCCACATGGTTGCTAGAGAAATTAGGTACTGTGTTGCACTTGAAAACACTAAAATCTTTCTGACTACTTTCACTGAGCAAAGAGACATAAAATGCTTTAAATTTGCAACATTTCAGAAAATAAATTTTAGTGATTATTTATGACTCGAATCTTTCAGATTTTGACAGTGAAAGTGGAAGGTTGTCCAAAACACCCTAAGGGCATTATTTCGCGTAGAGATGTGGAAAAATTTCTTTCAAAAAAAAGGAAATTTCCAAAGAACTACATGTCACAGTATTTTAAGCTCCTAGAAAAATTCCAGATTGCTTTGCCAATAGGAGAAGAATATTTGCTGGTTCCAAGCAGGTAAAGAAAACCTTAAAAAATTAATTGCTACATGGAAATTCACTATCTATTCTTTTAATTGTCAAACTAACTGTAGTCTATAATAGATGTATTAAATAAATAAATATATTTTGCTTCTAGTGTAAACCTCCTACTGACATGTATCATTTATTTTGGAATAAAACATTGCATCTGACACTTTAACAATATAGTAAATCACTTACTTTATGTGTATAGTTACTAGTTGGCTTATCACTGTTGAAATTATTTAAGAAAGGTAAATAGTGGAGATTAATGTGTGTGTGTGTCTGTGTTTGTGTATGTGTGTGTTCTTAAACAACACTGAGAGAGTTTATTAAGCAAGTTCTGAGAAGATAGTGAGTTTTCAACAGAATTTTAAAAGCATTTATGGCATCACAATGGATGCCTATGTTTTAGCCTATACTATGGAAATTTTTCCTACTGCTCTAAGCAACTGGGAAATTTATAAAGTAATATGATGTTGAAATGTGCAAATTACATTGATTGATGGATGCAGCCAATTTTAAAAATAAATATACACTTTTTTTCTAGGACATGTATTTTTCAGGATTTATATAAGATTACATTTGTCTATGCATAACTAATTGTAATAATTTATGTATTAGTGCACAGGGATTACCGAAAATATTTCATGCATCTACATCTGAGCATGCATTTGAATTGGTTATTGACCACTGAATTTTTGGTGTAGGAAAAATATGTAGTGAAACAATGTTACAAAAAGATTACAATTGTTTGGAATGATTACCTTCATTGACTTTAAGCAGTAAAATCATTTGCTCAACAAGGTTGGGTGTTTTGTGAGGCTGTATAACCATAGTGTCCTTTTGCCTTTAGTTTGTCTGACCACAGGCCTGTGATAGAGCTTCCCCATTGTGAGAACTCTGAAATTATCATCCGACTATATGAAATGCCTTATTTTCCAATGGGATTTTGGTCAAGATTAATCAATCGATTACTTGAGATTTCACCTTACATGCTTTCAGGGAGAGGTAAGTATCTAATGAAGACTTATTAGATTTTTAGAGACTATTAATTTAGACTTATTAATTTTTAGAGAAATTAGGGAGATGGCATATGAAAAGTAATATGCCATTTTCTCAGAGTTTACTTGTTTGGAAGGCAGCTGAAGAATTAGAAAATAAGCTCATAAAACCTTGGAGTAGGCAATCTAAAGACACACAAGCACATATAACCTCATCTAATTTGTCAGGAAGAAAATTCCTTAGGTGCTCACTCAGATCTTGACTGTGATTACATTGTAGGGACTGTAATTATCTCTTTTCTGTTGCACAGCCACTAAGACATTTACAAAAAAAGAGCAAATCCGGTGTTTATAATGCTAACTCTTTCTTCTAAAATAAATAGAGACATTTTGGTACTCCAAAGGGAAAATATCATTTTGGGGATTAAAATTAGCTTTACACAGGTGTTACTGGTTTCCAAAATAAACCTTACCTTGATTGGAATTAATCAACATATAGGTAGTTACATTGCATTAAAAAGTTCAGAAAGTTTTGCGTTTAGCATGATCAAAAACTTCTTTTTAAAAATTATGAGGATTTATTTATGATTTTCTTTCTTCATCTGTCGAGCATATTAAACTGCTTAACAGCATCAACCTGAAATGGATCTTAATGTGCAGGGGATTTAACTCTTTTTATTGTAAAGTTGTGGATAAAATATTTAATAGATATGGATGAGGACTCATATCAGTAACAACCCAATACTTTATTTCAAAATGAATAGATCTGTATTACAATCACTTGTGTTGTGTGCAGTAGATTTTTTCCCTTTAACTTAGGAAGCAGTTAATAATTAATGGCTCCATTTTTTAGAACGAGCACTTCGCCCAAACAGAATGTATTGGCGACAAGGCATTTACTTAAATTGGTCTCCTGAAGCTTATTGTCTGGTAGGATCTGAAGTCTTAGACAATCATCCAGAGAGTTTCTTAAAAATTACAGTTCCTTCTTGTAGAAAAGGTAAGGAAATCAATTTGAATGTTTTCAATTGCAACACTAAAGAAATTTAAACTTAAAAAAAAAAAAAACTTTACCTTAAAGCTTTGCGACAGTATGAGGTTTAGACAAGGTGTTGAGCTCTGTTTTGAATCATGTAGGCTGTATTCTTTTGGGCCAAGTTGTGGACCACATTGATTCTCTCATGGAAGAATGGTTTCCTGGGTTGCTGGAGATTGATATTTGTGGTGAAGGAGAAACTCTGTTGAAGAAATGGGCATTATATAGTTTTAATGATGGTGAAGAACATCAAAAAATCTTACTTGATGACTTGATGAAGAAAGCAGAGGAAGGTATGTTTTGATACAACTTACAAATGCTTTTAAGTGATCCTTCAATACTTATGAAGTGACTTTTAATAAATGTAAATATTCTTATCCATAAGGGATGAGTTGAAAAATAGTATATTCAATTATAGGGACAGTTCAGAAAACTGAATTATATTTATTACCAATAAAATCTTGTATTCTAGATTCAGAAAATGTTGATTTGAGGGTTTGAATGCTGGCTTATTGAGCAACATAACCTCATCTGTGAAACCGGAATACCAACCACATCTATCTCATAGAACTGTTATAAAGATTCAAATAGACAATACATGGACCTAATTTACCAACATGTCTGCCATATAATAACAGCTGCAGCTTCATGAATGTGGCAAAAGCAGAGAGTAGATAACTTTCTAGTCAGATGTCTGGTAGTCTGCAGCAGTTCAGAATTCTACAAGTGAACGTAGGAATAAGTTTTTAAAATTCCAAGTAGATAGATACTAAGTGAATCTTTAAAATGTTCTCAAATTTCCTAGAGAAATATAGGATTGGTTAGAAAGGGAGGGATTAGAAATTATAGAAAATATTCCATTATTTTTTCACATCAAAACCACAAATTTATGTATCTCCTTAAATGTTGTTTTTATTTAAAAAATGTTTTATTACTTCTCAGGAGATCTCTTAGTAAATCCAGATCAACCAAGGCTCACCATTCCAATATCTCAGATTGCCCCTGACTTGATTTTGGCTGACCTGCCTAGAAATATTATGTTGAATAATGATGAGTTGGAATTTGAACAAGCTCCAGAGTTTCTCCTAGGTAATTCTTTTTGTTAATTTGAGAATAAAAATTAGGATGTAATTTTCTCCTTATAATTTAGAAAATAGATTTCATAATTATATTGTCATAGATTTTACTGTCTTCATATATTTGTTATAATTTTTGTATTTGGAATGATATATTTTAAAGGAATATAATATTACAGATCTGGAATTTGTTTTGCACATAATCATGTAGACTAGGATCAAGATGAGGATGAGATTATCATGGAAGCAGAAATATTTATGAAATATATCTTTGTATTTGCCTTAATTGCCAGGGATATGGGAGGCAAATAAGACAGTTTTCAGGTGAGTTAAGTGAAGCAGCCATATTTTATAAAATGACAGAATAGGTAAAGGAAGCACACCTCAGTGTAGCCATAGCAGGGGTTTTATGACTCAGTGTGACAATGCTGAATTCTCATAGAAATATTCATTAAAAGCCTTGAAATTAAAGTCAAAAGTGTTACATGGTGACATACTCAAATACTTTTTTTTTTTTTTTTGATATGCTGAACAATTTACATTTCTTGGTTCCGTGAATTCAATCAGTGATTTTCAGTAGAGTATGATGGAAATCATTGAATTCATGTAGCATGTTTAGGTGCTCATTGAGAAAAGGTGAAGTCATGGTAACCATGTTTCAATATTCTCATTTGTATCTTGACTTCCTGCACATGGATTTTTGGGCCTAAAAGATGTTTTTAAAACATGCTCATACACTTCAGAAGATGAAAAGTGTATGCATTATAACTACTTTGGGAAAGAAACAGTCAACATATGTTACTGTATGTCATTCTGTAGATTACATGTGTGGTTTCTCATGTCTCTCAGAATAAAAGCTAATGTCTTTACAAGACCTGCGATGCTGTGATCTGTCTGGCTCCTCGGTTATCATTTTTAAAAAAAGATATACTTTGTACAAATTTTTTTAATTGACAAGTAAAAATTGTATATATTTATGGTGTACAACATGATGTTTTGATATATGTATATGTTGTGGAATGGAGAAGTTTAGCTATTTAACATATACATTATCTCAAATATTTATGTGGTGAGAACTATTAAAATCTACTCTCATAGCAATTTACAAGTATACAGTATGTTATTATTAACTGTAGGCTGACATACTCAAGTTTTAAACATTCCTGAGAGTCATTGGGACAACTATGAAATGCATTAGATTGATTTAATATAAAGCATTTGAAGACAATTTTGACCTTACTTTGTTTAGTTTTTGTTGTTGTTGTGTGTATACATTTAATTTTAATCAAATTACCCCAGAAATAATGCCTAAGATCTGTCAGTCAGGACATAATATTATTAGCAAAAAGTTGTCCAAAATTTGAGACATGATATTTAAAGCTAAATAAACTCCTTTATACCCCTCTTATTGGCATTGATTGGGAAGTTTAGGTTGAATTTAAATGCTTTGGAACTCAGGAAGTTAATGTATTAGTAATAGTGGGTTAACATAAAATGCTGAATTGTCCTTGCTGAATCCTACATCTTAACCCCAGACTTCAAGGTATACAGGAAAGTACCAGACATGGTGCATCCTTCCTCTGAAGAAATCCCAAACTGTCAGACACAGATCCCTAAAATATTTCTTTTTCCTGCATTAAAATGTGTTTCAGATGAATGGACACGTTTTGAGTAGTGTATGTGGAAACGTCATTTACAAAGTCTGTTTAGTTGGCCAGGTGTAGTAGCTCACTCCTGTAATCCCAGCACTTTGGGAGGCCGAGGTGGGTGTATCACGAGGTCAGGAGTTGAAGACCAGCCTGACCAAGATGGTGAAACCTCATCTCTACTAAAAATACAAAAAAATTAACTGGGTGTGGTGGTGGGCATCTGTAATCTCAGCTACTCGGGAGGCTGAGGCAGAGAATTGCTTGAACCTGGGAGGCGGAGGTTGCAGTGAGCCGAGGTTGTGCCACTGCACTCCAGCCTAGGCGACAGAGCGTCTCAAAACAAAACAAAACAAAAAACAAAAAAGCAAAGTCTGTTTAGCTACCCATATAGGAAAATGTTTGTGATTACTCTCCCTTCTCTAGACCCATGTCCCATAAATCCATAAATCCCATGTTCATTTACAGAAAGCAGTCTAGATAGGAGTTTCTCAGTCTTTGAGCTGTTGCCATTTTGGCTTGGATAACTAACTCTTTCTTATCGAGGGTCATCCTGTGCACTGCAGAATGTTTGGCAGCATCTCTGTCTATCCACTAGATGTCAGTAGTATCTCCCCTTCCCTCAGATGTGACAATCAAAAATGTCTCCGGATGTTGCCAAAGATAAGGGGTGGGGTTGAATACCAGTGATTTAAACAAATTAGGTGTATCCTTCTAAAAACATTTTACAGGTAGCGACTCCAGCATCTTTATATTAGAGTAATCTGGAGAAGGTTATGCCTCTCTCAATTTTCCCTCTTTCCATTTTTATTTGTAGGGCAGCAATGCATTCAGGCTTTTGGTAACTCTTTTTCCCAAGATAGCAGTAACTATTATGCAGTGAGTAATACGACCCACCTTAATAGATATGAATAGACTTGTTTTGTGAATATATTTTAAAATATAAATGTATGGGATTCTGTTCATGCGTCTGAGAAGCCACAGGGTACATTTCCTCTTTGTGGAGCTATTTATTTTTCTGGAGAGCCAAGACAGGTATTTCCACTTCAGTGGTGTGATTTGAGGGGTTAGGAAAATTTCCTTGCCTTCAATTTTCTTTCCAACCTAGATGTCACAAATACATAATAGTAGTCCTTAACTTTATTTTTGTTTTCAGTCACCTGAAAGACATGACAATCCATACTCCATATTAATGCAGCGGCGATTCTCAAATAGAGAAGGGCTTTAAAAAATTAGAAATCTCTGCCGGGCGCAGTGGCTCATGCCTGTAATCTCAACACTTTGGGAGGCCGAGATGGGCGGATCATGAGGTCAGGAGATCGAGACCATCCTGGCTAACACGGTGAAACCCCATCTCTACTAAAAATACAAAAAATTAGCCAGGCGTGGTGGTGTGGGCGGCTGTAGTCCCAGCTACTCGGGAGGCTGAGTCAGGAAAATGGCATGAACCTGGGAGGCGGAGCTTGCAGTGAGCCGAGATCGCGCCACTGCACTCCAGCCCGGGCGACAGAGCGAGACTCTGTCTCAAAAAAAAAAAGAAAAAAAAAAAGAAAAAAAAAACAACTAGAAGTCCCTACTCCAACTTGAAATTTGGATGTATCTCCCTAGAGTATGTTTCTTCTCTATGCTGCATTGCAATTTTTCTTTGTTGTTGATAGTTGTCCAGATTGAGGGGAGGCAGAACAAGATGCATCTATATGTTTCCATCTCTCCGACCGATTCTCTCCCTTCCCCCTCTACTTGCTTTCTTTCTCTTTTCCCTCTTCTGTTTACCCGATTCTATTTCTGATTCCAGTATGTAACAGTTCCCTCTGAAGCTCTCTCAATACCAACAATCCTAACTAATGGTTTTTAAAAGTCAAATATTAAGTACTGGAGGGATAGAATGAGAGAATACCAAGACTGATAAGATGCAAATAATACTTTTAACATATTTACAATCTAATAGAAATACAAGACATGCTCAAATAAGTTAATTATTTTAATATACTCTCTCTGAGCATAAAATATAATTATATATGCTCATTATAGACATATAAAAAATAAATAGGTAGAGGCTTTCCATAGATGTGTAATTTCACCACTTGAAAATTACTATATTTCCTTATAGACTGTTTTGTGTGTATTCACTTATATCCATCAAGTGACTACATTTCAAGGCACTATATGAGAACCATAAATATTGTACAAACAGGATTTGCTAAATGTCGGTGGAGAGTAACAGTCCACGGGGCTGATCATGGTCAGTTTGTGAGGCAGGCCTCCAAACTCCTTGGGGATTGAGATGATGGAGTAGCAGAGCTCTTCAAGGGTATGGAGGCCTGAAGGTACAAAGCATGCTCAGGAAATTTTGGCTATTGCGGTTTGTCTAGAGCACTTGTTCTCAACCTTACCTGCTCATTACTAATTCTACTAAGTACAGAATTAAAAGAAGAAAAAAATCTAATGACCATTTCCTCCTGGGACTAATTAGATCAAAATCTTTGAACCCAGACATTAGCGTTTTAAAAAGCTCCTCAGATGTACTATTCAGCCAGGACTGGGGCAGGGAAAGCTACTGAACTCCAGCCTTGAGAATGAGAAGTAGAACAAGAGGAGAACTTTAAAAGGATTTAGGGGCCACTATATGACTATGGAGCTGAATTTAGATTTGATTTAGTAGGCAACGCGGAATAATTTGTTTCTGAACAGGAGAGTGACACAATCAAAGTGGAATGATAGGAAAATTAATTTTGCAAGAGAGAGAGAATGAGTTGGAAGTAAGGAACTCAGAAGGCCTCCTGGGACTCAGCAGAAAGCTCTGAGGCCACCAAATGGGTGTGGTGGTAGTGGAAATGGAGAAGAAGGGAATGTAAATGAGGCTACACAGTGGACTGCCACTGTTAGCCGTGGGGTTAGACCACAGCAAGAGTTAAAATAATTCTTCAATTTTAACTCCAGAAGGGCCTCAAAAAGACTTTTTGTCTTGTTATCATCAGCTATATGGAAGGTAGAATAAAAACTAGTTAGGAGAAAAGGTAATAAATGTGGCTTTTGATAGGCTGTGATTGAGTTGGAAGGGCATACCAGTGAAATCACCAACACAAAGTTGGAAGTGTAGGAAAGCACTTAGGAGGTGGCTATAAGTGAAAATGTGAAAATTCTCTACATTAAAGGGATAGATGAAGTCACAGAAGTGGATGACATAATTGAGCAGGGTATGTGTAGAGGGAAGACGGGAAGGTTAAGGACAAAATCTTTACATATATCTTTCTTGGAGTAGAAGGAAGAGGAAATGTTAAAGGAGATTTGATTCAATGAAACAAGTAGGTCAGGTTTCTATTCAAATTTACAACAGATATAATTACAACAGATATAATTTATTTAGTTTTTTTCGCTTGGACAGCTTAATTTAAGTGCTTTGTATTTTCTTTTCAAAAGGTGATGGCAGTTTTGGATCAGTTTACCGAGCAGCCTATGAAGGAGAAGAAGTGGCTGTGAAGATTTTTAATAAACATACATCACTCAGGCTGTTAAGACAAGTAAGAAATTCAATAATATAATTATATTAAATTGCACATTATTAATCTACTGGAACTCTTATTTTGCATACAGTTGTGAAAATGCAAAATAATGACCACATTTCTACTTAAGTTTAATTATGCAATCCTAGTTTGTCTTTTCGTTGTGGAGTAGAAAGTTTTGTGTTATTTCTCCTGTTGAGAAACAAAACACTGTATCTGAGAATCCTTATAATCGTGATACATAGTGTGTTGTAAAACTTTTTGTAAGACTCACTTACACTCCTCTTTTTACTTTAGAACCTTGCTGTTCAAAATGTGCTCCATGGACAAGCAGCCAGGCATTACCTAGGAGATTGTTAGAAATGTAGAAACTTGGGACTTTTCAGTGCCATATTATTGTTCCTGATACTCCACAGTAGTCAGACTCCTAGCTGCCTCCACCTGCTTCCAGACCTTGAAGCCTAGCAAGCTCCTGACTTCGCCTTCTGTTTTCTTCAGAGTATTTATCTTTTACTTTTCTGGTCTAGGGAGAGAATGATTTTTATTTTTATTGAACATGACTTCTGTGTGTTCAGGGTGAAAGAAGAAGTTTAATGCATGATCTCACATTGCTAATTTGATTGAAGGTTAGAAATCTTAAACTAAAACTCTCACTGATAAGCTTGCACCTCTCTTTTCTGGATTTATCCACTTTAATAAGAACTGCTATTGATTACTTGCTACAAAGATGGAGAAAGTTAGCATGCTTATCCTATTTCCTACTCCCTGTCCCTGTCCACTTCCTAAAACTTAAAATTGGTTGCATTAATTTTCCTGATATAGTAACAATTATAACTTGGAATGATTTTCAAAACTTTTGTTTTTTTAGTATACCAACTCTAGACAGCATGGACTGACTCCTTGCTATGTGAGATGAGGAAAATTAACGCTATTCTTTCTCCTTTTCCCATCACCTTCTCAAGTTCTTTAATTTATTCTATTATTTTTATGTAGTGAAAGTTTATAACATTTATATTCTGGTCTGTACTCATAATTAAATTGTTCACATTTTGTCTATAGTTTGGTTCTGAGAACAAAACCAATAAATGCCATTTATATATTTTTTTATTTGTACAGAACCAAAATATTTCTACTTCTAGATAAAGAAATGCAACCTTCTGTCACTAACTTCTTTTACTAATAGAATAGTAACATTCCAAATATCAAAGTCAAATGGATTCTCTATTGTTATGTATTTATCATCAATTTATAAAAATAAAGGCATATTTTAATTTGGTCACATTTTTACCCTGATTTAAAAAAAAATTTGTTTTTAGAGATGGAGTCTCATTAGGTTGACCAGGCTGGTCTGGAACTCCTGGCCTCAAGTGATCCTCTCACCTTAACCTTCTGAGTACCAGTGGTGATTTATTTTATGTAGCTTTTTGAGGTTTTCTGATTATATACATATATTTTTAAAAAACGTACTTCAGGAAAAGATATATATTTTCATCATGACTTCAAGTGTTTCTAAGTTCTTAATCATACAGTTTGTATAACAGAATCTACTTTCTTCTTGAAGACATTCCTCATTCAGCACATGACTTACTGCTCTAAACAGGAGAGATGGATTTCTAGGCTGCTTGTGCAGTGATTAATCTATGAGTTAGTTTCCTCGCCCTCTTTGATTACTCTCAATATTTCTTGGATTCCATCCATTCTCTTGGTTGGATTGTCCTTAGTTTTTGTTGAAGAATATCTTCGAGTAATTTTTTTAAGAAAAGGTGTTTGTGAGGTAAATGTTTTCAGTCCTTACATGTTAAAAATATCTTAGTTTTGCCCTCCCATGTGGTGGATATGTCATCACACTTTATTTTTTAGGAATCTAGGCTTGAAACAATTTTCTTCAAAATTTGAAGAAAATTCCATTGATTTTTAGTGCCCACTGTTGCTAATGAAAAGTCTGCAGTCAGTCAGATGTTTGCTCCTATCTAGGATACCTTTAATTTCATTTTGAAAACTGAAAATTTGACCTTTTGAATTTCATTTGTTTTCAGTGTTCTGAACCTTTACAAGTATGTGTTTGTGTGTAGGTTGTTTTTCATTCCATCTAATTCATTATTTTGTGAAAAATTGTCTTCTGTGTATTCTCTTCTATTATTTATTATTTCCTCCCTAACATTTATTAATCATTTTTATTGACAACTACTATGTACCAGGTTAGGTGATGGGACATATGATATATATATAGTAGTAAGCTAAACCCAGTCAAGGCTCTGCTTCTCTGGAGCCTATATCTAGTTACTTATGATTCATTATTGCTTATCATTGCTCCAAGAGTATATGTTAGATGACAAGCCTTTTGGGTCTATCATCCATGTTTGAGTTCCCTCTTCAAGTTTTATCTATAATTTGTGTTACTTACTTGACTGTCTCTTACAGGTTTCTAATATTTTTTAGAATTGCATCATCTATTATTTAGCTTTCTGGTGAATTTTGTTTTGATAATCATATTTTCCATTTCCAGCAATTCTTTCCATCCCCTCTGGTTGTTCCTTTGTAGCCATGTTTTTGGATAAAATGTCCATAGGTGTTTCTGTTCATGTCAATTAGAATTTTTTTTTGTATTACTTGCATTATTGCTTTTTTCTCTGAGGTTATTTGCTCTGTGGGTTCATCTTGATCTTTCTCTTTTATCTTGTCAGTTTTCCAAATTGAGTAGTTTTGGGTGACTTCGTATGAAGTAAGTACTCTATTGATTGTTAAAGAAGGACTGTATTGATTATTAAAGGTAACTAGAATGGGCATTCTTCACATTCATGTAGGTTTGCTTGTTCAAGTTACCACTTTCTGAACAAGAAGGTTAGACCATAGACTTTTAAGGGCTGCATACTGCAAAGGGATACTCTGTTCTTTAGGTTACATGGGCAGGGATCACTGCTGAGACCATACCTGCCAAAGGAAGGCAGGCTTTGCTCTCTAGATGCTGGACTTGAAATTGTTTCCCCTCTGCTTAGTGCTGCATTATTTTTTTTGCTTCTTAATCTGCTGCAGAGTATCTAGATCAGGGTGTCCAATCTTTTGGCTTCCCTGGGCCGTATTGGAAGAAGAATTGCCTTGGGCCATATATAAAATACACTAACACTAATGATAGCTGATGAGCTTAAAAAAATTACAAAAAAAAAATCTCATAATGTTTTAAGAAAGTTTATGAATTTGGGTTGGGCCACATTCAAAGCCATCCTGGGCCACATGCGACCTGTGGGCCACAAGTTGGACAAGCTTGTTCTAGATACTTCAGACTCTGTTCTACATCTCTTCATAGATCAATAACTTGCAGCAATGAGTTTATCAGATAAATTATGTTCACTTTTCATCCATAAAAAAAGTCATGGGAGGTACTCACCATAGGATTGGTTTAATCCAGTCACTCTGGCCAATTTTCTTTAAAATTCCTTTAACCTTGGTATATTGGTTTAATTCCTTCAGAATGGCTTTTCCCATTGTGATAAACTGGTTCCAGGCTTCACGAGTACTTATTCCAAGTACAGAAGGAAAGAGGGTACCTCTTTTGAGTACTTGTATTTCAAAGGAATCAAATGGCCTACATAATAACCCATTAAATAAATAGATGTCTCTCAGCCCCAGTGAGTCATCTGTGCTTTTCTCAACAAGCACTATGTTCAGGGCAATGCTTTGTGCTAATTGGCTTTAGGCCTTTGTTACCAAACTGATCACTGTGGCCCTGAGGGTGCTGTTACTTAGAATATTCCCACCTTTTCTGAGAGGCTGATGTTGGGGTCACTTCCCCCTGAACTAAAGTCCAGGGGCTGCATGGGTGAGGGTTGAGTAACTCAGTACTCTAAGGAGGAAAGGAAGGGGAATATACACTGTTAGTTAACAGTGGTTATTCCTGTATTCTCTCTTGTTTGGATTCTACTGGGGATTTCTTTCTTTTTTTGAGTCTTTATTGACATTAGGAATGAGAGATAGAAACAGGGTGAGAGAGGAAGTAAAATTAAATGTGAATTCTTCCATCTTATACCAGAACTCAACTGTATTTTTGGAATCTATATATCCTTACTTTTCCCTTGATTTATTACAAAAAATTCTTAGTGGCTACACTAAGTAAATTTTGTAACCTTTAAAAAATACATAGTTATAATATTTTAAGTACTCTGAGTAATAGAAGATTTCATGTGAGTACAAAATATCCTGGGGGCATTTTAATTATTAGTAACAACAGTCACACTGTAGTTCTAGAACCAAATTGAACATTTTATATATAGAAGCTTATCTGTGAATCAAATCTGACATAATCTCTTTTAATGTGTAGGTAATTTCTTATATAAATTGATTTTTTGGCCTTGCTGTCAGCATGCATTTCAAATTTTACACCATGTGTTTGGGGAGCTATGGTGGAAATTAGTACATTAAAAATGTCTACAGAGCCAATTAGTGTATAAGCAGGGAGGCAAACTAAGGGAATGGTGGAAGAAATTAAAAAAAAAGGGGTGTGCATAATGTGCTTCTTCTCTTAAAAAAAAAAAAAGAAAAAGACAACAACAAAAAGAAAGAAAAATGACATTTGACGGTCATTCTACCAGTAGTCATGGGGCAGATCTATATTATACTGTACTATTACGCTGTTTTTTCTTTGCAATTAGTGAGTTGCTTTTCCAGGATAGAAAATTTGGATTAGACCTCTGTCTGTGCCTATGAAAACAAGCAGAGCTAACTTAACTCCTTCTCATCAGTTCTAACCAACTGACATGGGCATTAAAAAAAAGATTTTATCTACTAAGCAAATATGATCACAGTCTGAAGCTTTGTTCTTGGAAAATCCCCTCTCAGGGTGTTCAGCCTTTCTTCTTCAGCTTGCAGAATTCTCCATGTTTCAGTTTCCTGATAAATCAGTGGGCGCCGCTACTCCACATCTTTGAAGCTGGTTGTTAAGAAGCAGTGCTTCTGCAGCAATCACAGTTTAAAGCATGAATCAATTTAACATCACACAAGCTATACATTTCAACAGAGTTACAGTTTCAGAGTAAAGTGCAATATACAGTATAAAGCGAATCTGGAATTCAAGCCCAACAATGTCATAAAAGAGGCTGTGAAGTCTCACATGATGTGGGCCACAGAGAGGGTTGTTGCCATTGGATCTTAGCTCAAATACTACCACATCTTCGGAGTGGCCTGCCATGGGCCACCCTTACTAAGGCAATCCCTCTGTCCAAGCCAAAATGATATCTCGGACTTTTTTTGAATTGCAGAGAGATTGTTGCAGCCAGGGATTGCCTTAGTAAGGGTGGCCCATGGCGGGCCTCTCTGAGGATGTGGTAATATTTGAGATAAGATCTGAATGGCAAGACTTCAGCCATGTGAAGGGTGGAGGGATTTCTAGGGAAAGGGGTCAGCACAGGCAAAGACCCTATGATGGGAAGAAGCTGGGCACAGCTTGGGATTGAATGAATGCCAATGTGGCTGAAGGGTGGTGATTGAAGAGGAGGGGGAGACGAGAAGGTCTGGAAGGCCTGGGGCATGATCAGATCAGGTGCTGAGGCCGTGGAAGTAGATGGGATTTTCATCTAAGGGAAATGGGAAGTCATTAGAGAGTTTTCAGGAGGGGATGATATGTATTTTTTTAAAATTGAGCATTATCCTCGGTAAACTTTTGTAGTCGTTAAACCAGAGATTATAAGCAGGTTTTACCTCATATGCCAGTTGCAGCTGATTAGTAGTGGCTATAGAGAATCCTGGGCTGAGAAGGATACTGTGGCTAACCAGAATTCAGTAGATGAGTTTGACGTGGCCTGTTAGTATGACTACACTGTGTGCACTGTTTCTGCATTAAATGTCTGATAAAAACAGAGCCAAAGGAAAAATAGAACTTAAAAATTTAATTCTGACAGTACAGTTGACCCTTGAAAAACATAAAGGTTGGGGTGCTGACCCCTTGTGCAGTCACAAATTTGCATATAACTTTTGACCTCCCCAAAAAACTGAACCACTGATAGCCCACTGTTGACTGGAAGCTTTACTGATAACATAAACACTTGATTAACACATGTTTTATATGTTATCTGTATTATATACTCCATTCTTACCATAAAGCAAGCTAGAGAAAAGAGTATTTTATTTAAAAAATCATAATGAAGAGAAATATATTTAATCTTCGTTAAGTAGAAGTGGATCATTATAAAGGTCTTCACCCTCATCATCTTCACATTGAGTGGGCTGAGGAGGGGGAGGTAGAGGAAAGGTTGGTCTTGCTGTCTCAAGAGTGGCAGAGGTGGAAGAAAATTTATGTATATGTGGACTCATGCACTTCAATCCCATGTTGTCCATAGGTCAACTGTAGTTTCAAAACCAGCTTTTTATTACTGAAAATACGGGAAAAAAAACTCAGAGAAGAAATGGAAAGTTTGCTATGATCCAGTCATACAGAGAAATCCATGTTCAGCCTGTTGATGCACTTTAAAGAAGGAGATACGTGGGTAAAACCTGATGTTGAATTACTCTTACATGATTTTGGACTTTTGCAGGAGCTTGTGGTGCTTTGCCACCTCCACCACCCCAGTTTGATATCTTTGCTGGCAGCTGGGATTCGTCCCCGGATGTTGGTGATGGAGTTAGCCTCCAAGGGTTCCTTGGATCGCCTGCTTCAGCAGGACAAAGCCAGCCTCACTAGAACCCTACAGCACAGGATTGCACTCCACGTAGCTGATGGTTTGAGGTAAGTAGGTCATGTTGTTTTCTATTCAGTGCATGACAAGTGTGATCCAGACTTGCTCTCAGGTTCTGAGAACACTTCCCAGTAACACTGTGCCCCAGTAACAATTTATAAACAATTTGGATGAAAACTACCATTTCCCTGATCAAATTTTGTAATTTCAGAAAATAAGAGTATGGAAACCATGCAGAACCTCATAGCAAGTAGTAATAGACTTTGAACCCACAAGTTCTGCTCTAGAACCCATCATCTTAACCCTGTACTGATCTGCCTTCTATAAAAATGTATAAGTTAGGCTTCACAGTATCAAAGTAAGTGTCAATTACATGATTCCAATGAGGAAAGATGAGTCCATACTTCTCAAGGGGACTAGAGTGATTCATGTTGGATTCTTCGGCATGACCATCTCACATGTCTCAGAGGCACACCTAACCCTGCATCCAGAGCAAGCTTTGGAGAGGGAGCACACTGGAGTGGAAAGGCTGTGGTCTTTGAAGACAAAAGGCCTGGGATTCATCACTATTCCACACATTTAGTAACTGTGATTTTATATCTCTGATTCCCATTTTTTAAATAGTCTGTGAACCATGACTAATATTTAATGCATAAAATTATGATGACTTCTGTAATAATTGGAGACATTCCAGATGAAACTCTTGATGTCCCCTCTGCCATTGCTCCCCAACCCCAGTCACCCTGTTACACCTGAGAGTCACCTTACATTCCTTTCTTCCTCTCTCATTTCACAGCTAATCCTTCAGCAAATCTTTTCAGCTCTGCCACCAAAATATATCTTAATGCTTCTAACAATTTCTCTCACTAACGTCTAAATCTGAGCCAGTATCATCTCTCATTGCCTACTGGTCCCCTGCTTCTACCTCTGTCTCATGATAGTCCCATTCCTCACCCAGCCTCTGGAGTGATTTTTCTAACATGAAAGTTGGATCAGGACTTGTTCCTGTTATTACCCCTCCCCTGCCTTATTTCTTGGGTACAGTGCTCAGCCACTCCCATCCCTGAGGTTCCTTGCAGATACCAGAGGCTTTATATCTGCTGTTGATTTCACTCAGGAATGTCTGACTCCCAGATGTGCTCTCTACTTATTATAAAGGATTATCTGAATCTTTCTGAATCCTTTCATTTAGGACTCTCAGCAGAGAGGATGTCCGCAACGACCCTTTGTCTCTCCAGCCCCTATAGGACTATTGCTGCCTAGGATTCTTTATGTTTTCATTTTTTAAAAACTTATTTATTGTCTGTCTTGCCATCAGAATCTAAGTACCATGAAAGAAGGGACTTTTCGTCTTGTTTGCCATTGTATCTCTAGCTCCTAAAATAGTAAGCCTTCAGAATTACTGTGTTGACAGTAGGGGAAGGGGGAGAAAGGAGGAAAGAAGGAAAACAGTGCCTGGGGCATAGAAGCCAAGCAGTGTATGCAACTTTCCTTCTCTTCTTTCTCTTCTGAAATGCTATGAATATGCCTTTTAGGTAGTATCCAGAAATGTTCCTTCCTGAAAGGGTCCAGAAACTACTGAAAACTGTACAGATTATGAAATGAAACAGGGTGCAGGGATTTGGATTTGAGTTGATGTTTCTGCTTTTGAACACCAGGGGGAATCTTGGGTTACATTAATCTAGGTAAAGTGCAGAATAGTCTCCTGTATTTCAGTGCCCTCTTTCCTTCATTTAACTAACTCTAGGTTCTAGTTTTTCCCTAATTCTTCCACAAATCCCCAAAGTGTTTATTTATAAAGTGAAGAATTGCTATTTTTTAACACTGTTCGAAACACCTTATCTCTAAAATGACTTATTCTAGTTCTCTGAAACCTTACTTTAAATAACAAATCCAGCAGTTTCTGATGAAGTAAATGAAATGTCAGCATATTTTAAAATAATTTGCCTAATTTGTTCTTAGCATAATGCCAGAAAAGCTTTCTGGATTTTGTATCACAAAAGGCTAGTAGATTTCAGTAGCTATCAATCTTCTACCAGCACTAAGTATATTTTAAAAACTCAGCATTAAGGTTTATTTTTCCAAGTATGTTTCAGCACAGGAAATAAAATCATGCTCCTTTGGAGTCCCTTAAATGCTGGAGCTGTTTAGAGTGACATACAAGAACTTTCTTCACGTTACATGCTCTCTCTTCCTCCATCTTGCTTTTAACTGTTAGCTTACTTCTCCAATTCAATCCACTTCGTTTGAACTCTTTATCATAATTCTATAAAACTTATGAAAATACAGTCAACTGCATTTTCTGTATGTTTCTGTGTTTCAATATCTTCAAAATGGAATGTACTGCCTTGGTACATCACCCACTATGAATCTGTTATTTCTGTTATATCCCACAGTTGCCAGGCCAGGATACTTGTCCCATCCAGGCCAAACACCTTCCCCCGAAAGCAAGTATGCATTTGTCCACCAGGTCCTTGACTCTATTTTACATTATCTTTTTAGTCAATTCATTTATTTTTATGCCACTCCTGCTGTCTTGGTTCAGTATGTCCAGGGAATTATCAGAATTTCTTTTCTAAAATAAAAATCTGTTTATGCTTGCAATTCCTTGACAGTTCTCAATTATCTGCAAAGTGCATCCAAACTTCTTGGCATAGCATCAAAGATCTTTCTGTATGCCTCTTGCTTCCCTTTGCGGCCCCTGCCACCCCACTGCCCACACTGCATTCTAGCCGTGATGACAGGCTTGAATTTTCAGTTATGCTCATGTCTGTCCATCATTGTATTTGTTATTCCTCTCTTTCCACCAAGTTGTCTGCCTAGAGAGCTCATTTTCCTTAAGAATTTCTTCACAAACCATCTCTACTATGAAGCTCAAGTGTGTCATGAAGTGTTAGCTTCTCCAACTTGTGTTTCTTGCAGACACTCTGTGCAAGACATTGACTTAGGTGCTAAAGAGGGAAAGCTAGATATTATATTGTTCTTGAGGTTGAAAGCTTACAGTCTAGTAGGAGAGTCAACTTTGCTGTCTTTACCTCAGTGTTTTTCTCCCTCTGTGCTTCCCTAGCACGTGGTACTTACATATTTCTGGAATCTTGATTAAACACCTGTTTGAGGACTGTCTGAGCACAATCCTTCTGGATTGTGACACCCTCAAGGGAGCAGAGATACAAAGATGGCTTTGTATACTAAATGACTGGCCCTCATAGATACCTAGTACATATTTGTCAAATAAATGAATGCATTCTATTTTTGGAATAATTCTATTCAGAATCAGATAAAGTTTACTTTAAGCTATGAAGAAAGAAGTCTCTTAGCAACTCTTACAATAATCACAATCAAAGAATGACTGTTTAACTTAATATAAACCAGTTTGTTTTAATAAAATATTTGACAATAGTCATGGTTACACAATGCATAAATTATGGCTAAATTATTATCAGGAAGGAAAAATCTTTACTTATTATTTCAAAAGCTATTTTGCTAGTCTATTAAAAGCTATTAGAACTGCACTTCTTAAGATTAAATTCTATAATTGAACATTTTAACTAACCAAGATATTATCTCTTTGCCACTGACATTATTTCAAATTAAGCTTAACTATTTCTTTTTAGCCTTTGGAAAGTATTCTGAAAGAGTCTGTGTTCTATAAATATACTTAAAGAGGCATGTCTTATAAAGGATTTGGATACTATTCAATGATGTATGACTTGGCTTTAGCTTTTTTATTCTTAATCTCTCAGCTTTTCTCTTCAGCAGGGGAAGAGTACCTAATGGCCTTTCAGTAATCCCTTGGTAAATTTTTCTT